>NC_000012.12:73066188-73217703 GCF_000001405.40 Homo sapiens | reverse complement strand
ACCAGCACCGGCAGCAACAAGCACTGCTATTCTGAACATGGTGCACCTGCAGTGCTCTCTTGTCTTTGTTTGGCTGTTCTGGTTCCTTTTCAAATCCAGGTTCGACTGATTCTGTGACCTACTGAATAAACTTCTAATATATATCTTTTTTGGCATAAATTAACCAGTGTTAATTTCTGATTAGTACAATAGGTACCAGTTTTAATCTGTTACTAATTCTTGGAATACTTTGTAACATAAATGGTTATGTTACTATGAATAATAATAAAATTTCTAATGTGAAATCAAGATGCATTTGATGTTCTATAGTAATAACTATAGTTATTACTCTCTCACCTCTCTATGGTTATTATGGAATTAAATCTAGGATTTATTTGCACAATTATAATTTTGATTATAATTAGTTTTATATATATATTTTTTACAATAATAGTCAAAGTTTTCAGAATCATTCCTCTATAATATGAATAGAAAACAATGCCTAACACTAGAAAAGACATTTTAAGCTCATATGATACCTTTAAAAATGTGGTTAGTAGTTTGTGCAATACTTAATTTTCTCATTGTCCATTCAAGCATTCTGCAACTACCTATAAATTACCAGAATTGCAATTTCAATCATCAACCGTCAATCAAAATGTCAATATAAGGAAATAAAGCTTCCATCTTTGGCACAGATTAAAATAGTGTTTATTTGACTATGCTACATTAAGAAGTTTGAATTTCATTTGTTTTATAAAATTCATTACCCTACAGAACAATACATATATTGGAATGCATTTAAGTAAAATATTTTTGTTAATATTATTAATAACTCTAATATTTTCAAAACAAATATTTTAATATCATAAGCATATTTTTATGATTTTTAACATTTTTTCAAGTTCCAAAAATCTACCTCAGATAATCTTGCCTACTCTACTCAAAAGTTATTGTATTACATTATATTATTTTTCTTTACATTTATCAGTATCTAAAATTATCATACATCTTTATATCATTAATTGCTGTTTTTAGCCTAAAAATATAATACCTGACAAAGTTGTCATTCAGATACTAAAAAGACAGAGACATTTTTAGGCAAACAAAAGCTGAGGGAGTTCATTACCACTAGGCAAGCATTACAGAAAAACGTGAAAGGGATTTGTTCAAGCTGAAATGAAAGGAAGTTATTTAATAACGTGAAAACATATGAAAGTATAAAACTTGCTGATAAAGGAAAGCATATAGTCAAATTCAGAATAATATTCCAATGATGGTGTGTATCTTGCTTGATGCCATTACAAAAGGGTGAAAGATAAAAATAGCTATAGCTACAATAATTTGTTAACATATGCACACATAAAACTATGAAAATTGTGACTTAAATAACATAAAATGTTGGAAGCAGGAGTAAAAATGTGGAGTTTCTGTATGTGATTGAACTTAAGTTGTTATCACTTTATAATTGACTGTTATAACAATAAGATGTTTTATGTGATCTTAAAATAATCACAAGAGAAAAATCTCCAATAGATATGGAACAGTTAAAAACAAAAGAATCCAAGCATACCACTGTGAAAACAATCAAATCATAAAGAAAGAAAGAGTGAAAGAAAGAATGAAAAGAACTACAAAGCAGTCTGAAAACCATTAACAAAGTGGCAGGATTACTTCATTACCTATCAATAATTACTTTAAAAGTAAACAGACTAAATTATCCAATCAAAATACATAAAGTGGCTGAATGGATAAAACCAAGATCCACCTATATGCTACCTACAAGAGAACACACAGGATGGAGTAAATGGATGGAAAAAGATATTCAAGGTAAATAGTAACCAAAAGAGAGCAGACAAAATAGATTTAATTCAGATCTTTCACAAAACACAAGAAGTTTATTATATATAATGATCAAAGCATTAGCTCAAGAAGAAAATATAACAATTACAAATATACATGTACCCAACATCAAAACACCTGAATATATACCAGCATAGATGCAAAATATAAAGCATAAAGCAAAAAACAAGCAAAATATAAAATATAAAGCAAACATTGGTAAATCCCAAAGGAGAAATAAAAAATAATACAGTCACAGTAGAAGACTGAAATACCCCAGATACAATAAGGGTACAGCCAAACTGAGCAATACTATAGACCAAAAGGACCTAACAAATATATAAAGAACTTTCTACCCCCAAACAGAAGAATACATATTCTCAAGCACACATGGAGCATTTTCCAGGGTAGACCACACGTTAAATTACAAAGTGAAGTCTCAGTAAATTAAAGTGGACCAAATTCATTCTAAGTATCTTTTCCATCATAATGAAATAAAACTAGAAATCAATAATAGTAAGGAAAAATGAACATTTACTAATACATGGAAACTGAACAAGACACTCTTAAGCAACCCTTGGGTTAAAGAGAAAATCAACAGGGAATTTAAAAGATATCTTAAGATGAATGAAACAAAAAAAATTACATAGCAAAGCTTATAGGATACAACAAAAGCAGTATTAACAGGAAAATTTATAACAATAAATGGTTACATTAAAAAAGACTCAAATAAAAATAAATGATAAACAAAATAGGAGAATAAACTAAGCCCAAATATAGCAGAAGAAAAGAAAAATAAAGATTAGAGCCAAAATAAATCAAAGAGTTTAGAAAAATAATTTTAAAAATCAACAAAACTAAGATTTTTTTAAGTAAACAAAACTGACAAAATCTTTAGCTAGACCAAGGAGAAGGAAACATTGAATCAAATTAAATCAGATATGAGAGAGAAGCTATTATAATAAATACCGCAGATTTTTTAAAAAATTTTAAGAAACTATTATCATAATTATACACCAAGAAATTGGATAATCTAGAAGAAATTGATAATTTCCTAGAAATATACAACCTACCAATGCTAAACCAAGAAATAATGAAAACCTGTACTGACCAATTACACACAAGGAGTTTGAATTAGTAATTAAAAGCTTCCCAACAAAGAAAGACCCACCACCATAAGTCTTCAAGGGTGACTTCTAACAAACATTCAAAAAAGAATTAAACTTTTCCAAAAATTAGAGGAGGGGACACTTTCAGACTCATTTTGTGAGTATACCTTTAACCTGATACCAAAGTCAGACAAAGACACCACATACAAAGAAAACTACAGACCAATATCTCTGATGAACATAGATTCAAAATTTCTCAATATAATATTAGAAAACCAAATTTAACAGCACATTAAAATGATTACACATCATAACCAAGTGGTATTTATTCCTGGGAAGCAAGGATTGTTCAACATTCACAAACTAATCAATGCGATATGCCACATTTTTAAAAAAATAGAAAAAAAAGATCATCTCAATAAATGGAGTAAATGCATTTGAGAAAGTTCAACGTATGTTCATAATTAAAACTCTCAACAAAATAGGTATATAAGGAAATTACACTAACATAATAAAGGCCACAGATGAAAACTCTACAGCTGACTTTATAATAAATGGGGAAAACCTCAAAACTTTTCTCCCAACATACAGTAGATTTTCAACACTTCTATTCAACATACTATTAGAAATTCTAGTTAAACAATTAGACAATTAAACAAAAGGTATCCAAATAAGAAAGGAAGAAGTTAAATTATATCTGTTTGCAGAAGACATGATCATATATGTAGAAAACGGTAAAGACTCAACCGAAAAAATAAAACCTGTTAGAACTAATAAACACATTCAGTAAATTTGTAGGATAAAAAATCAACACAAAAAATCAGATCCATTTATATAAACAAACGATGAACCATTGGAAAAGAAAACTAAGAAATATTTTCATTCACAATAACAACAAAATTAAAATACTAAAAACTAAACCCAATCAAAAAGTAAAAGACTTTTAAAACTTATAAAACATCAATGAAAATTAAAGAATATACAGACAAATGGAAAGCCATCCTATACTCTTGGGTTGAAAGATTTAATATTATTAAAATGTCTATACTACCCAAAGTGATCTGAAGAATCGATGCAATCCCTATCAAAAATCTCAGTAAAATTCTTTACAAAAATAGAAAAAAAATCTTAAAATTCATATGGAATCACAGAAGACCACAAATAGCTAAGCAATTTTGAGCAACAAGACCAAAAACGGAGGCATCACAAAGCTGGAGCCATTAAAAAAGTATGGTAATGGAACAAAAAGAGAGATTGATGAATGAAACCAAACAGCCCAGAAATACAACCGTGTTTCTTGTCGACTGATCTTCAACAAAGATGCCAAGAAGACACAATGGAGAAAGGACAGTCTTGTCAATAAATAGTGCTGAGAAAACTGAATCTCCTCATGCAAAAGTTTAAAATTGGAACATAGTCTTATAAAACATTCTAAAATCAACTCAACATGGATTAAAGATTAAACTTAAGACCAGAAACCATAGAACTAGTAGAAGCACATATAGTTTCTATATGTTTCTTGATATTTGTCTGGGCAATAATTTTTTAGATATAACCTCTAAAGAAAGAACAAATACCCATAGCATATATAGACAAGTCAAACTGTATCAAATAATAAAGCTTCTGCCCAGCAAATAAAATCATCAGCAGAGTGAAAATTCAGCTTATGGAATGGGAGAAAATACTTGTAAACCATGTGTCTGATAAGGGGTTAATATGCAAAGCATATCAAAAATGTATACAACTCAATAGCAAAATAGTAAATAACCTGATTAATATATGGGCTAGGGATTTGTATAGATGTTTCCCAAAAGAATACATAGAAATGGACAACAGGTAAATCAAAAAGTGCTCAAATCACTAATCATCAGGGAAATGTTAATGAAAACCACAATGAGATATTACTTCACACCTGCTAGAAAAGCTATTATCAAAAAGATAAAAGAGAAGCATTGGTTAGGATGTTGAAACAAGGTAATCCTTTTACAATGTTGGTGGGACTATAAATTGGTGTTGCCATTGTGAAAAGCAGTATGGAAATGCCTCAAAAATTTTTTAAAAATAGAACTACCACATAATCCAGCCATTTCACTTATAGACGTATATGCAAAAGAAATAAAATCAGTATCCTAAAGAGATATCTGTATCCTCATATTCTCTATAGCATCATTCACAAATAACCAAAATGTGGAACCAATCTAAGTGTTCCTGGTAGGAAGAGGGGATTAAAAACATGTTACACACACACACACACACACACACACACACACACACACACACAGAGAATGGAATATTCGGCATTCAAAAGAAGGAAATACTGCCATTTTCAACAACATGGATGAACCTAGAAGACATTATATTAAGTAGAATAAGCCAGACACACAAAAACTAATACTGCATGATTTCTCTTACATGTGAAGTTTTAAAAAGTCAAACTCATAATTGCAGAGAGTAGAACAGTGGTTTCCAAAGCCCAGAGGCTGAGAGAAGTGGGGAAATGTTAATCAAAGGGTATAAAGTTTTAGTTACACAGAACAATAATTTCTGTAGATCTAACATATAGCACTGTGACTCTAGTTAACAACAATGTATTGTATACTTGAAATGTGCTAAGAGAGTTGATCTTAAGTGTTATCAGTCCAATAAAAAGGTATTTGAGGTGATTGATATATCACTTAGTTTGATCGTGAGCAGTTTATAGTGCATACATATATCATGACATCAGGTTGTACAGCTTAAATACATACATGTTTTATTTGTCAAATATACCTCAATAAATTTAGAAAGAAATAGTATGTGAAATTGATTGCCAGTGGTAGCCATGCACTAACATGTCCTCAACAAATTTTATTTTATTCTAATAGACTCATGGGTTGAATTTAAGCAGCTGTTTAATTAATTATGATTTTTATAATTTTCTCCATTATCATATACTCTGGTAAGAAATAAAAATTTAGATTTTCCTTTTATTCTAAAATGTAAAGTTTCAACAGAACATTGATGCTGTGGTTTGAATGCGTCCCCCAGAATCCATGCATTGGAAACTTAATCCCCAGTGTAATAGTGTTGAGAGGTGAGACCTTTAAGAGGTGATTAGGTTACCAGAGCTCTGTTATTATGAATAGAGTAATGTCATTATTGCAGGGCAAGGTTTCTTATCATGACAGTGCATTTGTTATCATTTCAAATTTGGCCTTCCCTTCCTCCCTCTCATGTGTTCTCTTACGTGTTCTCTTCTGCTTTTCCATCTTCTGCCATGGGATGACCGAGCAAGACGGCCCTTATCAGATGTAGACCCTCAGTCTTGGACTTCTCAGCCTCCAGAATTATGAGCCAAATAAATTTATTTTCATTATAAATTACTCAGTCTGTGGTATTTTTTTACAGCAGTACACAATAGATTAAGACAATGGAATACTGTATATGCCCCGAAAGTTGTTTTTCCTATTTTCTCTTTCAGGAAATGTAAATAATTGCATATGCTCTATTAAATGTCAAATGACTATGTCCCATATTTGTTTATAGAAAATATTTTTAACCCATCACTCTGAGCAAAACTTACAAAGTGCTGAAATATTTTGAAGTGAAATGGAAACTTACTTTCATATTATGGCATCTTGACAATTTGTTAGTTCCAAATTCTAGCAAACATTTTTTTCCTTCTAAGATTGAGATGTTCTATTAGCAACACTTCAGGAAGGGAGAACCTGTGACTTTCCTCTATTTTGTTGGTAATTATAAGCAGGAGGCAGTCACAGCTCAACTACGTGTTGTAGGTGTGTGCTTGGTTTGGGAAGGAGGTTTACTTTGAGGAGAAAAACTAACCTATTATCTATGGAGTAAGAAAATGCCAGCCAGCGCAAATCTAAAAGTTTTTCAATTAAGCCAAGTAATTAGATTTTGGAATGTAGCCAGTGAACTTCCACTAAACAATCTAAATTGTGAAACTCAATGCCACTTCCAAAAAGGTTGTGTAAGAATTATAAATAAAAGTGAAACGGAATAGAAAATGTCCAACGCATGCACTTATGACAAATGTGCTCCAGGACCGAAAACAGAAAAATATGCTTTCCAAGTTTCTCACAGCATAATGTGTCCTAATGAATTTTACATGGGAATTAAATGTATGAAAGCAGTACACTGAATGAGCATAGTTTTCATAAACATAACCAAGCCTCTCTAAAATGGAATTCTCTTTACCCACTATAATATTGCATACCACTGTATGACAGAATGTAGACTCCACAAAATGAATGCCATTGTCTTTTTGAATAGTATGTTTGCAGTCATAAAAATAAAATCAGTCTTTTTATTAGGTTAGGTTACAAATCAAAATTGAAAAATTATCAGTAAGAAATAGTATTTTTAATAGGGGTTAAATACAAACTTTGATGTGCTTTTCAGATAGTCTAATTTAACTCTCATTACATCTCTAAGAAGTAAAATACTGAACATGTTATATTTAAATCACGAATTAAAATAAGAGCTATTTTAAAAAAATCTTTTCTAAAACTTAACTTTGGAATCATCTCACGCTGCTTGTTCTTTCATTTTTACCTGCACTCTTTTATATCTTTTTGCATTTACTTTTTGTCTTGTTTTAGAAGAGAACATAAGAATGTCAAAGTGGTGTGTATATATTTAATCGACCTCCTGCTGCAAATACCTAACATTGTGGAGCTTTATGCTATGAAATAGAATATTGACAATGATGAAAACTATTAGACAAAATAAAACCATATGTATTTTTATAGCCCAGAAATCTCTGTCATGATGGAATATAAGTGCTGCCTACGCATTTATGAGGACATATGAGACCATTAAAATGAAAACATCTCTTAATCATGAAAGACAGCTCTTCAAATACCCCATGCTTATGAATAATGGATTGTTAGAGGTTACAAACAATGTCTAGTGTTCCCTAACCCGCTTCCCACAGACACATAATCATCTGGAAGACGCCCTATTATTTTTCTGAGTATCTCTCAGGAACAGGAAAGATGGTTCAGAGCCAGAAGTACATAGAGTGACAATGTAAGATGGTACCTTATGCTTACACAGAGTTTTAGTCAAGATATGGGAAGTTAGAGGAATTAGATGATATGTATTTTTTTTTTACAATGCTGTGAAACATGCCTTTGCACTCTGAAGTGCAAAAATGAAAAATAGAATAGAAAAAGTATAAAAGCTTGAAACATAGCTATTGTAAATATAATAGCAAAATGTTTTATTTTTCTTGATAAAAAGACAATGAGAATCTGCCACGGAGCTCCGAAACAAAGTTGATTTTGCATGATGTATATACGCAAGATTGACAACTCAGAGTTCTATATGAGCTAAAGAAATAGAGGGGAAAAAAGGCTATTCATTCCTCGCAAGTTACTCTGCCTACCCTTTTTATCTGATCTCCATTTGAAGACAGATAGTTATAAGAGTATGAAACTTCTCTATAGAGAACTCTCAAGTGAACTCACTATGTCCTGAAAATAGCTGAATGTTCTAGTATCTCATCACTAACCCTGGATTCTTTGGTTCCCAACTGTCCATCGATTTATTATTACTGAGAACTAATGTATTATTATTGAGAATCAGGATGCCTTCTCCCACAACAATACTACAAATCTCTGGCCTTTGTTACTTATGAACTGCAAGGTCTGGAAGCCAAGAAGTTCATGGCAAGTCCCAGGTCAGGACCATAGACTGTGGACCACATCTATCAGTAAGAAGAGTCTTAGTACAGAATTACCTCCTTTGTTCAGCAGGAAAGGATGGCAAATTGGAGGAATTCACATTCAGCAGCCGAGTTTGTTCTGACACTGTGAGCCTCTACTTTTTCTAAAAAGTCGAAAAAATTTTGACACCACTTGGAGTCAAAATACCTATGCTTACATATCAACAATAGGACTCACTGCTTGTGTAACTTGGGGATCTCAATGGTAAGTACTGCTCCTAAAATGAGGAAGTTAGTTCAGTGAGATCTAATTCAGGTATTAGATTATTGGTGAGAATTTATTTTATTTTATTTTATTTTTGAAACGGAGTTTCGCTCTTGTCGCCCAGGCTGGAGTGCAATGGCAGAATCTCAGCTCACTGCAACCTCCACCTCCCTGTTCAAGTGATTCTCCTGCCTTAGCCTTCTGAGTAGCTGGGGATTATAGGCATGTGCCACCACACCTGGCTACTTTTTGTATTGTCAGTAGAGACAAGGTTTTGCCATGTTGGCCAGGATGGTCTCAAACTCCAGATTGCAACAATTTTCTCCCATTCTGTAGGTTGCCTGTTCACTATGATGGTAGTTTCTTTTGCTGTGTAGAAGCTCTTTAGTTTAATTAGATCCCATTTGTCAATTTTGGCTTTTGTTGCCATTGCTTTTGGTGTTTTAGTCATGAAGTCCTTGCTCATGCCTATGTCCTGAATGGTATTGCCTAGGTTTTCTTCTAGGGTTTTTATGGTTTTAGGTCTAATATTTAAGTCTTTAATCCATCTTGAATTAATTTTTGTATAAGGTGTAGGGAAGCATTCCAGTTTCAGCTTTCTACCTAATGGCTAGCCAGTTTTCTCAGCACCATTTATTAAATAAGGAATCCTTTCCCCATTTCTTGTTTTTGTCAGGTTTGTCAAAGATCGGATGGTTGTAGATGTGTGGTATTATTTCTGAGGGCTCTGTTCTGTTCCATTGGTCACTGCCCAAGGTAATTTATAGATTCAATGCCATCCCCATGAAGCTACCAATGACTTTCTTCACAGAATTGGAAAAAACTACTTTAAAGTTCACATGGAATCAAAAAAGAGCCCGCATTGCCAAGTCAATCCTAAGCCAAAAGAACAAAGCTGGAGGCATCACGCTACCTGACTTCAAACTATACTACAAGGCTACAGTAACCAAAACAGCATGGTACTGGTATCAAAACAGTGGTCAGCTTTTGAGCAACATTTGATACCATGCTTAAATATTTTAAACAATAAAGAATCATTAACCAGCATAAAGCATTGAGAATCATGTGTTTCAGATGCTTGTTTCAGAATGTTTCCTGATGGTAAGGTGATGAGAGATGAGAGTTGAGAGCTTGGGTATCAGAAGACTGGTTATGAGAGTGCTGCAATCATCAGGCCGCCAATGAAGCAGAGAACACACTTCAGCATTGAGTGGATCCGGCATATTCAGAGCAGACAGTTTTCTTTGTGGTGTGAGTTCTCTAGAACTCACAGATAGGTTCCCAGAGAAGGACAAAATCATTAAGGAAACTTCTATTCCATGAGATTGGTGCTCTGTAGAATGGATAGTAATTTTGTGTGGGTTTTCTAGGCACTCTATGCATCGTAAGAGCTTAAGGGAAGGGAAAGAAAGAGCAATTATTCAACTGTGATTTACAAATGGTTTCATAGAACAAATCTAGCACTGGTGGAGCATGCATCTAAATGTAGTGCCACCTAGGGGAAGGGAGAGATCCAGATAAAGTCGACTATCCTAAATATCTCAGGGGGCAAAACAAACTGACCCAGTGTGAACACTGTCTATGCTTATGAGTTGGAGGTTATTAAAAATCATACCCACCCACCACTATTCCTGCCATGGACATATCCAGAAACTGAGATTTAATAATTTCCTTATATAAAAGCCTACTGTTAAAGTGTTAATATGTTACTTGAGTGATGTCTGGTATTAATCCATTACCGCCTATTTGTAAGTAGCAAAATAGATACCATCAAGAAAGGAAAACACCTACAAGAAAAAGGGAAACAGGCCAAACCAGTTGGGATGGGGCTATCCTGAAAAACACTACCAAGAAAACTGAGCTGAACCTAGCTAGGACTCCAGAAAAGAAGAACTTTCTCAGTCATGTCATGTATGGTATCACCATCCTATAGGTACTTGGCATTCCTGTGGTGTGTGCTGTTCCCTCCAAAGATAAGCCTATGTTTCCATATACTGGAAATTAACTCTAGAAATGAAACTGTTCTTCTCATTTTTTCTTTTTATTTTTCTTGGTGATTAATTATTGTTCTTTCATGGTTTTTCTCTTAAAATCATCCAGTTGATCTATAAAAATGTATTCAACTTATTGTGTGGAAACACCCTGAGAAGAACAAAGAGAAGTTTAAATAATGAGGACCAGGATATCTGCAAGTAAGCCAATAGTCATTCTTTCCTTCCTTACTAAGAAAACCCAGTTTTATTCAGGGTGAAAATGGACCGACTAAGAATTTATCATTTTCTAGCTCTCCCTGGAAGCTAGAAACGTTTATGTAACATAGTTTTGTCCAATCATATATAATAGAGAGAAAATATTTGATTTTTTGAGAAAAAAGTCTCTAAAGAGAACTAATCTGGCCAGGACATACACTTTTACCTCCTGCTGCTCTTGTGCTTCTTGCCCAGAATATAACTGTGATGCTGGAAGTAGGACAGCCATTTTGTAGTTGCAAGGTGATATGTCTGAACTAAAAAAAAGCAAGCTAAAAATATAAAAATCAGGGTATCTGATGGCATTGTGGTTCACCTTACTAGTCTCATTAAGTGAGACAAATAAAACTCCATAGCAGAAAGAATTAATTAATTTAGGAGACTCATGTCAATGTCTAGGTAAGAAGTAATGAGAACAAGACATCTAAGCTTATAGATAGACACTCATGTCTTCAAGAATTACAAGTCTTATTGAAGTCATCAGAGATAAGTAGATAATTCTACTTTTATAAGAGAAATTCTGCAATATTTATGAAACCATTGACTTGGCTTGAGTAAATGTTTTTCAAAGGAGGTAACACTTACAGTTACTTGGAGAATGAGAAGTTTTCCAACCAGTCTCAGGGATATATGAAACGAATAGCTGGGGGAGGAAATTCAGACAGAGAGACAAATCTGTGTAAGAGCACAAAGTCTTACATAAAAGATGGAGGGAGGTGGTTACAACTATTTCGAGGCAACTGGAGTCTTATTTGCACATCAAAGTGGTGGTAAGATGAGCCAAGTCAGAGGGCAGCAGCCAGATGTTGAAGGACAGTATAGGCCATGCTTAGAAGTTTGGGCTTCATCCCATAACCAGGATTTGCAAACTGGCAGGCAGCAGAGAATCCCTTCTTGGTTTGGCAAGTAGAAAATTTTATAAGTTTTAAATTAGAATTTTCTAGGTGAGGAGGGATCGGTATCCTTGAAAAGTACACATATATAGAAATAAGTGGAAGATAGATACTTTACATGAGAAAAGGCTTGATTTCAGACAAGCAAAATATATATATATGCCAGGAGAAGTGAGGAGTTAAACATCTAATAAACTCCAGTAAATATGGGAGGATGTGAGAAATGGTCCTGTTCAAGTGTGCAGAAAGGACAGCAGAGTAGCCAGGGAAAATACTTTTTTTCAATTAGTATTTAATAAATTGAATCTTACAGATAAAATTTTCAGGATTAAAAAATACAGCTGTCTAATCCCTTAAAGTCACTAATATATTGGCATCCCAGTCAAAACAATAAATAATTGATAAGTAATTTAATCAACAATAAATATTTAGGAAGTATTTGCCAAATACAGATATAACTCTCTAAACTTTTGGGAAGTCTAATATTGTATTTCTGCTTAATAGACATAACTTCTAAAAACTAAGATGTGGAAACACTATAGATATTCATTATTATAGTAAGAAATAAGGTAGATAGTAAAAAGGAAAATTAACTATTAAAGAATAACAGATTTAAAATGGTCAATTTACAAGGTAATATTAATTAATAAATTATCAAGTTATGCTAAAATATGTTATTTAGCCCAAGTAGTTTTAGCATCTTCAATAATGAATACACCATATAAAATGCACAAATAGAAATAGAAAGCCAGAATATATCCTGTGAGCATTTTTACCAGTGCGTTAATGACCTGCTTGAGTTAGTACCTTGGGCTTTGCCTCAAGCCTTAAAATACAGTCAGTTATTACCTGCTCAAATCTATGCCAGCATGTTTTAACTAGACTAAATATACTCTAAAGAGAGGTAAATATTATACTATTTCATTTTCATTCTCAGCTTCTAAAATCACAGCTATTATTCATAATTCAATTGTAGTTTTCAGTATGCTATAATGTACCTGTAAGTGAAAATCATGTACTTGTGAGAGTTTTTTGACTCATAAAATTAGAAATAACAGAAAGTGAAGAGGATTTAAAATATGTTCTTATACATACTTAAAAAATGTAGTATCATTTTTTTCTTTTTTACCAAATATAGTTTAGTTATGCCTTCCTTAGATCATAGCTTTTGAGATGATGTTAAAATACAGTTTGCCAAATAAACTAAACATAACCGAGATTTTAAAACCATTGTCAAAGTATAATAGAAACATATGGCATTCAGGGCAAGTTTCATTCAAGTAATTATTGTTAATTTGCTCATTATTTGAACTAACTCCTCCTCCTTCCTCTTGTTCCACAGCCAAAAAGCAATTTGTGCTTCATTAATTGTTCACAGAAATAAAGTATGTGGGGAGGGGGACAATATTTGAAGATTTAAATGGTCACTGCTACTGCTGCATTTCTTGTTCATTCAAAGTAAAACTAGATAATATTTGTGTAAGCAGCACCTTGTTGGTTGGATAACTGAGAAATTACCATAATTTAAGTTTTGGTTTGCTTGAAGTTTCAATAAGCTTAGGGTCATTCTGAAGCATTACCTTGTCATGAATTTTAAAGATAAAATTCATATTGATGATGATGATAATAACATCCACATGTATTAGTTTTAATTAAGCAAATAGAATGTGCAAGTACTATATTAAATACTTATTCACAGATTACCTCCTTCACCTTCAAAACAATCCTATACAAAGTAAATGCTATTATCTTGGTTTTGTAGATACTGATAGCCTGTATTTGTTGAGTTCTAATTATGTGTTCAATTATCAACATCACAATGAGATAGTTACCATTTTCTAGAAAAGAAAATCCAAACTTAGAGTAAGAAAGTGATTTACCTACATTTCCATATGTAGTGATATTGGAGCCATGACTCTGACTCATTTGTAATTTAAAACCTCATGTTCTTAACCACAGTGCTGTGGTTATCATATATATTAATCAGTGTAAGTAAATGTAAATGCTTTAACAGAGAAACTTTGAATTTCATCAGATTGACAAAATAAAGTTTACATTGTTTACTCATGTTATGATCCAAGATTCAATGCAGTTGAAATGTTGAAATGTTGTCTATCAGTAATGGAATCTGAGGAACAGACTTAATCGGAGTGCCCAAAGACAAAAATGTAATAGATTTGATATAAATAAAACATTTTATCTGCCACACCTTGTAAGTAAATCTTGACTTTTCTATGTGAAATTAGAGAACTGTTGGATGATTTTAAGCACAGAATATAAATAAATTTATATTTTAGAATTATGACTATGGTAATATTACAGAGACTAGACTGTACAGGGTTGAATGAGATAAGAAAATATGAAGCTATTTAGGGAAACCAATTTAGACGAAAAATGATGGGAGCAGGAATAATACAGTGGTTACGGGAATTAAGAGAAGAGGTAGGAAAAGCCTCCAAGAGCAATTTGGAGGATAGATTCAAAAAGACTTATTCAATATTGGGTGTAACCAATTAAGCAGAATGGTCAACAATACTCCTGAGGTCTTAAGTAGGGAGAACATCATGGATGGTGGTAGGTATTATAATGTAGAAGTGATTTATCTACATGTATGGAACAGTGTCAAGTAGGAGTCCTTTGTCTACTTGGGACACATACTGATTGTGCTGCATATGAGTTTGTTTGCATTTTTATAAGAACTTTCTAACAGCAAAATCAAGAAAAATCAGAAGAGAAAAATCAAGTAAATTAATCTGGTTTCATTCATTCAATCATTTATTCAACAAATAAATTTGGACTGTGCACTATTTGTCAAGCACTGTGCTAGAAATTGTGAGAAGTAAAATAAAAGACACAATCTCTAGGTTGAGGATATTTAGGTTTAGCAGAAGACAGTTGTTGATATGGTTTGGCTGAGTCCCCACCCAAATCTCACTTTGAATTGTAATAATCCCTACATGTCAAGGGTGGGGCCAGGTGGAGATAATTGACTCAGTTTCCCCCATACTCTTTTCATGGTAGTGAATAAGTCTCACAAGATCTGATGATTTTATAAATAGGAGTTCCGCTACATAAGCTCTCTCTTGTCTGCTGCAATGTAAGACATGACTTTGCTTCTTTTTTTCCCTTCCACCATGATTGTGAGGCCTCCCCAGCCATGTGGAACTGTGAGTCAATTAAACCTATTTCCTTTATAATTTACCCAATCTTGGGTATTTCTTTATTAGCAGCTTGAGAACAGACAAATACAGTTGTGATTTATCTTAATAAGTGTCAAATCAAAGCAAATTTGAGATTTTACAACAACTTATAAAATAGAAACCCAAAAGGGTAGCAAGAGAGTGTCAAAACTGCATGTTCTCACTTATAAGTGGGCGCTAAACCTTGGGTACTCATGAACATAAAGATGGCAATAATAGACACTAGGGACTACTAGAGTGGGGTTGGGGATAAGGGTTGAAAAAAACTAACTGTTGTTGGATAGTATGCCTATTACCTGGGTAACCGGATCATTAGTATCTGAAGCCTCAGTAATGCACAATATATTCATGTAACAAACCTACACATGTACCCTCTGAATCTAAAATAAAAGTTGAAATTATTTTTTAAAGCCTTCATAAATGTTGAAAAAGACATAAAATTTAGCTAAGCAAAACAAAAAGAGAAGATATGTTTAGGCTTACAGAAGTACATGCACATAGGTTCAGGAAAAAAATAGAAATGTCTTGATTGAGGATTACAAGAAAGTAAGTATGACCTGAGTAAGGAACTGGAGAAGGATTGGCAAGAAATAGGGCTTATGAGGTAAGAGTTGCTAGAATATGAAAGATTCTTACAGTGTGTCATAAGCCTCTTAAAGACTTATTAGAAGTAGAAAGTTAAAGTCACAGAAGAATTCTTGGCAGAGAAATGACATAGTCACATTTGTGATTTATAAAGGTAATTCTTACAATGGTGTGAAAAATAGATTGGATAAAAACAGGACCAGAGGCATGGGATCCTCTCAAGGCACTTTTAGAGAAGTCTAGCAGAGAAGCCATAGTGGTCTGAAGCAAAGTAGTTGCAGTGAGAATGGAAAGGAAGGGAGGAATTCAAGAAGTGTTAAGAGGCAAAATGGATAGAGTCTTATCTCCAATGAAATTAAAGGCTAAACAAGAGGGAGAAATTGAGGCTAATTTCCAGGGTTATGTTTTAACTAGGTATTTAATGGTGGCAAGAGAGGTATTTAATGGCAAGACAGGAAAAAAATGAAAAGATAGGGAGATCTGAGGAGCAAAGAAGAAAGTAAACCTAGTATTTATTATGTGTGTCATATCTCTGAAGCATTCAAGTAGAGATGTCCAGTAGAAAGTTGTTGGATATAATTCTCCAAGTGTAATAAAATATGACTCTAAGTTTCATGCATTGTCTATACCTATCCCTACATGGGTCAGTGCTTTAATGATGCCAAGTTGAGCCTCAGTCTTTTTTTTTTTTTTCCATTTGACTTAGTTGGAATGCTCTTACAAGTGACAAGTGAGAAAAGGAGGAGAAAAAAGGTTAAATGCAAACACATCACCCACCATTACTACTTACTGTCAGTAGTATCATCATTGTTTAAAAGAGAATTATTAATTGGAGGAAGCCAACACTTACCTTTTTTATATCTTATGCCTGCTTTGAAAGAAAGGTAACTTGAGAAGAAAAATTTAAGCCAAAAATGTGATGACACTTAAGAAAATCCCATGAGGTGCTAATTAATAGTTTACACTGATGACCATATATTTACAATGAGAAACTATCATAATTTGAGTTCAAATGTTGTACCTTTTCCGAAAGGAAAAGTCAAATAATGAATATAAAAAGTCAATGAATATCAAGTCACAAGGACTGTTATGTAAGACATATTACAAAACCACAATGTAGTTATACAAAATTATGATCTTCATAAAATAAGCTGAATATGAATTCAACCAAAGAAACTACATAATTGCAAAGCAGGGTCTGAAGCAACTAGATTAAATAATGGGGCTTCTTAAGTAATAAAATCTTTTTAGAAAACGAAGCTTTCTGAAAACTTTTCCAGAATGTTTTAGAACAGGCTACATGATTTATACCCATTTATTTAAAAATCCAAATTAAGCAAGGTTGACAAAGGACCTTACAAATGAAACTCTCTAGAGAATAATCTAGAAGTTTGTTGGTAGGCTTCAGACATATGGATTGGTAGGGTTTCCCCTCATGTGAAGCAGTTTAAATAGTTCTTATTATTTTATGTTACTAATTCAAAGCCTAATAGCCATGGCTGGCCATAGCGGGTATGTGTTCCAGGATCTCACAACCTATGATAACCTCTCAGCTTTCTCCCAAGACCCTCCTTGCAAGAACATTGGGAAACTTATCTGACCACCACAAAGCTCTAAAAAATCACTAGAGATAAAATTTTCTTAATAAAAGTCCAGAAATTTTTGGTAACATGCTTTAGAACATTGCTTTCTTTGCCTCTTGGTATGTATAGACATGGTATCAATAGCTTCAATGTGTTTCTTTGCTCTTTTATATAAATTGCTTGTCTGAGAAGACTTTTCTTTAGAAATTATGACTTTTTCAGTTCATAGTTTGAAATCATATAATCTCTAAGTGAGCTCTTACATTCGTGATTTAATCAGAAAATGTCTCTACTGAACAAAGTTTCTTTATTAATATGCAAATGAATGCCATAAGGCAGATGATACTTTTTCCCAAACCACATTCAATTAACTTACAAATAACTTTAGGTGCTCCTAGTGTAATCAGAATTAGTGTTTTACATGACAGATTTTTTAACACTTCTTAGATTCTAAGATAAAGAATTAGATGCTATTATTTATTACCATGATGCAAACGCAAAACATAGGCTGAAAAGAATAGAAGAAAAAAGAAAATAGCTGAGGAGCCAAGATGGCTGAATAGGAATAGCTCCTGTCTACAGCTCCCAGCGTGAGCGACACAGAAGACGGGTGATTTCTGCATTTCCATCTGAGGTACCGGGTTCATCTCACTAGGGAGTGCCAGACAGTGGCCGCAGGTCAGTGGGTGCAGCGCACCGTGCGCGAGCCGAAGCAGGGAGAGGCATTGCCTCACTCGGGAAGCGCAAGGGGTCAGGGAGTTGCCTTTCCTAGTCAAAGAAAGGGGTGACAGATGGCACCTGGAAAATCGGGTCACTCCCACCCAAATACTGCGCTTTTCCGACGGGCTTAAAAAACGGCGCACCAGGAGATTATATCCTGCACCTGACTCGGAAGGTCCTACGCTCACGGAGTCTCGCTGATTGCTAGCACAGCAGTCTGAGATCAAACTGCAAGGCGGCAGAGAGGCTGGGGGAGGGGTGCCCGTGATTGCCCAGGCTTCCTTAGGTAAACAAAGCAGCCCGGAAGCTCCAACTAGGTGGAGCCCACCACAGCTCAAGGAGGCCTGCCTGTCTCTGTAGGCTCCAACTCTGGGGGCAGGACACAGACAAACAAAAAGACAGCAGTAACCTCTGCAGACTTAAATGTCCCTGTCTGACAGTTTTGAAGAGAGCAGTGGTTCTCCCAGCATGCAGCTGGAGATCTGAGAACGGGCAGACTGCCTCCTCAAGTGGGTCCCTGACCCCTGACCCCTGAGCAGCCTAACTGGGAGGCACCCCCAAGTAGGGGCACACTGACACCTCACACAGCCGGGTACTCCTCTGAGACAAAACTTCCAGAGGAATGATCAGACAGCAGCATTCGCAGTTCACAAAAAACCACTGTTCTGCAGACACTGCTGCTGATACCCAGGCGAACAGGGTCTGGAGTGGACCTCTAGCAAACTCCAACAGACCTGCAGCTGAGAGTCCTGTCTGTTAGAAGGAAAACTAACAAGCAGAAAGGACATTTACACCAAAAACCCATCTGTACATCACCATCATCAAAGACTAAAAGTAGATAAAACCACAAAGATGGGGGAAAAACAGAGCAGAAAAACTGGAAACTCTAAAAAGCAGAGCACCTCTCCTCCTCCAAAGGATCGCAGTTCCTCACCAGCAATGGAACAAAGCTGGATGGAGAATGACTTTGACGAGTTGAGAGAAGAAGGCTTCAGACGATCAAACTACGAGCTACAGGAGGAAATTCAAACCAAAGGCAAAGAAGTTAAAAACTTTGAAAAAAAATTTAGACGAATGTATAACTAGAATAACCAATACAGAGAAGTGCTTAAAGGAGCTGATGGAGCTGAAAGCCAAGGCTCGAGAACTATGTGAAGAATGCACAAGCCTCAGGAGCCGATACGATCAACTGGAAGAAAGAGTACCAGCGATGGAAGATGAAATGAATGAAATGAAGCAAGAAGGGAAGTTTAGAGAAAAAAGAATAAAAAGAAATGAACAAAGCCTCCAAGAAATATGGGACTATGTGAAAAGACCAAATCTACATCTGATTGGTGTACCTGAAAGTGACGGGGAGAATGGAACCAAGTTGGAAAACACTCTGCAGGATATTATCCAGGAGAACTTCCCCAATCTAGCAAGGCAGGCCAACATTCAGATTCAGGAAATACAGAGAATGCCACAAAGATACTCCTCCAGAAGAGCAACTCCAAGACACATAATTGTCAGATTCACCAAAGTTGAAATGAAGGAAAACATGTTAAGGGCAGCCAGACAGAAAGGTCGGGTTACCCAGAAGGGGAAGCCCATCAGACTAACAGCTGATCTCTCGGCAGAAACTCTACAAGCCAGAAGAGAGGGGGGGCCAATATTCAACAATTTAAAAAAAAAGAATTTTCAACCCAGAATTTCATATCCAGGCAAACTAAGCTTCATAAGTGAAGGAGAAATAAAATACTTTACAGACAAGCAAATGCTGAGACATTTTGTCACCACCAGGCCTGCCCTAAAAGAGCTCCTGAAGGAAGCACTAAACATGGAAAGGAACAACCGGTACCAGAGGCTGCAAAATCATGCCAAAATGTAAAGAACATCAAGACTAGGAAGAAACTGCATCAACTAACACACAAAATAACCAGCTAACATCATAATGACAGGTTCAAATTCACACATGACAATATTAACTTTAAATGTAAATGGACTAAATGCTCCAATTAAAAGACACAGACTGGCAAATTGGATAAAGAGTCAAGACCCATCAGTGTGTTGTATTCAGGAAACCCATCTCACATGCAGAGACACACATAGGCTTAAAATAAAAGGAAGGAGGAAGATCTACCAAGCAAATGGAAAACAAAAAAAGGCAGGGGTTGCAATCCTAGTCTCTGATAAAACAGACTTTAAACGAACAAAGATCAAAAGAGACAAAGAAGGCCATTACATAATGGTAAAGGGATCAATTCAACAAGAAGAGCTAACTATACTAAATATATATGCACCCAATACAGGAGCACCAAGATTCATAAAGCAAGTCCTGAGTGACCTACAAAGAGACTTAGACTCCCACACATTAATAATGGGAGACTTTAACACCACACTGTCAACATTAGACAGATCAATGAGACAGAAAGTCAACAAGGATACCCAGGAATTGAACTCAGCTCTGCACCAAGCGGACCTAATAGACATCTACAGAACTCTCCACCCCAAATCAACAGAATATACATTTTTTTCAGCACCACACCACACCTATTCCAAAATTGACCACATACTTGGAAGTAAAGCTCTCCTCAGCAAATGTAAAAGAACAGAAATTATAACAAACTATCTCTCAGACCACAGTGCAATCCAACTAGAACTCAGGATTAAGAAACTCACTCAAAACTGCTCAACTACATGGAAACTGAACAACCTCCTCCTGAATGACTACTGGGTACATAACGCAATGAAGGCAGAAATAAAGATGTTCTTTGAAACCAATGAGAACAAAGACACAACATATCAAAATCTCTGGGATGCATTCAAAGCAGTGTGTAGAGGGAAATTTATAGCACTAAATGCCCACAAGAGAAAGCAGGAAAGATCCAAAATTGACACCCTAACATCACAATTAAAAGAACTAGAAAGGCAAGGGCAAACACATTCAAAAGCTAGCAGAAGGCAAGAAATAACTAAAATCAGAGCAGAACTGAAGGAAATAGAGACACAAAAAAACCCTTCAAAAAATTAATGAATCCAAGAGCTGGTTTTTTGAAAGGATCAACAAAATTGATACACCACTAGCAAGACTAATAAAGAAAAAAAGAGAGAAGAATCAAATAGACGCAATAAAAAATGATAAAGGGGATATGACCACCGATCCCACAGAAATACAAACTACCATCAGAGAATACTACAAACACCTCTACGCAAATAAACTAGAAAATCTAGAAGAAATGGATAAATTCCTCGACACATACGCTCTCCCAAGACTAAACCAGGAAGAAGTTGAATCTCTGAATAGACCAATAACAGGAGCTGAAATTGTGGCAATAATCAATAGCTTACCAACCAAAAAGAGTCCAGGACCAGATGGATTCAGAGCCGAGTTCTACCAGAGGTACAAGGAGGAACTGGTACCATTCCTTCTGAAACTATTCCAATCAATAGAAAAAGAGGGAATCCTCCCCAACTCATTTTATGAGGCCAGCATCATTCTGATACCAAAGCCGGGCAGAGACACAACCCAAAAAGAGAATTTTAGACCAATATCCTTGATGAACATTGATGCAAAAATCCTCAATAAAATACTGGCAAACTGAATCCAGCAGCACATCAAAAATCTTATCCACCATGATCAAGTGGGCTTCATCCCTGGGATGCAAGGCTGGTTCAATATATGCAAATCAATAAATGTAATCCAGCATATAAACAGAACCAAAGACAAAAACCACATGATTATCTCAATAGATGCAGAAAAGGCCTTTGACAAAATTCAACAACCCTGAATGCTAAAAACTCTCAATAAATTAGGTATTGATGGGACGTTAGCTCAAAATAATAAGAGCTGTCTATGACAAACCCACAGCCAATATCATACTCAATGGGCAAAAACTGGAAGCATTCCCTTTGAAAACTGGCACAAGACAGGGATGCTCTCTCTCACCACTCCTATTCAACATAGTGTTGGAAGTTCTGGCCAGGGCAATTAGGCAGGAGAAGGAAATAAAGGGTATTCAATTCGGAAAAGAGGAAGTCAAATTGTCCCTGTTTGCAGACGACATGATTGTATATCTAGAAAATCCCATTGTCTCAGCCCAAAATCTCCTTAAGCTGATAAGCAACTTCAGCAAACTCACAGGATACAAAATCAATGTACAAAAATCACAAGCATTCTCATACACCAACAACAGACAAACAGAGAGCCAAATCATGAGTGAACTCCCATTCACAATTGCTTCAAAGAGAATAAAATACCTAGGAATCCACCTTACAAGGGATGTGAAGGACCTCTTCAAGGAGAACTACAAACCACTGCTCAATGAAATAAAAGAGGATACAAAGAAATGGAAGAACATTCCATGCTCATGGGTAGGAAGAATCAATATCGTGAAAATGGCCATACTGCCCAAGGTAATTTATAGATTCAATGCCATCCCCATCAAGCTACCAATGACTTTCTTCACAGAATTGGAAAAAACTACTTTAAAGTTCATATGGAACCAAAAAAGAGCCCGCATCACCAAGTCAATCCTAAGCCAAAAGAACAAAGCTGGAGGCATCATGCTACCTGACTTCAAACTATACTACAAGGCTACAGTAACCAAAACAGCATGGTACTGGTACCAAAACAGAGATATAGATCAATGGAACAGAACAGAGCCCTCAGAAATAATGCCGCATATCTACAACTATCTGATCTTTGACAAACCTGACAAAAACAAGCAATGGGGAAAGGATTCCCTATTTAATAAATGGTGCTGGGAAAACTGGCTAGCCATATGTAGAAAGCTGAAACTGGATCCCTTCCTTACACCTTATACAAAAATCAATTCAAGATGGATTAAAGACTTAAACGTTAGACCTAAAACCATAAAAACCCTAGAAGAAAACCTAGGCATTACCATTCAGGACATAGGCATGGGCAAGGACTTCATGACTAAAACACCAAAAGCAATGGCAACAAAAGCCAAAATTGACAAATGGGATCTAATTAAACTAAAGAGCTTCTGCACAGCAAAAGAAACTACCATCAGAGTAAACAGGCAACCCGCAAAATGGGAGAAAATTTTCGCAACCTACTCATCTGACAAAGGGCTAATATCCAGAATCTACAATGAACTCAAACAAATTTACAAGAAAAAAACAAACAACCCCATCAAAAAGTGGACGAAGGACATGAACAGACACTTCTCAAAAGAAGACATTTATGCAGCCAAAAAACACAGGAAAAAATGCTCATCATCCCTGGCCATCAGAGAAATGCAAATCAAAACCACAATGAGATACCATCTCACACCAGTTAGAATGGCAATCATTAAAAAGTCAGGAAACAACAGGTGCTGGAGAGGATGTGGAGAAATAGGAACACTTTTACACTGTTGGTGGGACTGTAAACTAGTTCAACCATTGTGGAAGTCAGTGTGGCGATTCCTCAGGGATCTAGAACTAGAAATACCATTTGTCGCAGCCATCCCATTACTGGGTATATACCCAAAGGACTATAAATCATGCTGTCATGCTGCTATAAAGACACATGCACACGTATGTTTATTGCGGCTCTATTCACAATAGCAAAAACTTGGAACCAACCCAAATGTCCAACAATGATAGACTGGATTAAGAAAATGTGGCACACATACACCATGGAATACTATGCAGCCATAAAAAGGATGAGTTCATGTCCTTTGTAGGGACATGGATGAAATTGGAAATCATCATTCTCAGTAAACTATTGCAAGAACAAAAAACCAAACACTGCATATTCTCACTCATAGGTGGGAATTGAACAATGAGAACACATGGACACTGGAAAGGGAACATCACACTCTGGGGACTGTTGTGGGGTGGGGGGAGGGGTGAGGGATAGCATTGGGAGTTACACCTAATGCTAGATGACAAGTTAGTGGGTGCACCGCACCAGCAAGTCACATATATACACATGTAACTAACCTGCACATTGTGCACATGTACCCTAAAACTTAAAGTATAATAATAAAAAAAAAGAAAATAGCCAAAGATGACATAAATAGAACTATGTTATAAATGCTCTTATTCAGGCTCCTGAATTGATTACTAAACTAAGGAACCACATAATTACCCTAGATAGGGTATTTAGTATTAAATTTAATAGTGACCATCTGTTACGTTATAATTATGCAATCAAGTTCTCTTTTACCCTACAAGTGAAGATGAAACAATAAAAAAAAAAATTAAAGAAAGCGCAACAGATGAGAGGGTAAACTGCTCAAACTTCTATGTATCACCTAAAGCAAACTCACATAGTTGAGGCATTTTAAGAGAATAAGTTTCAAAATTAAGAATTAACCTGAAAACATTGTCTACCTTCTTCTATGATAAGTGGGAAATGAGTTATTCAGTCTCAGCAGATTACCAATTGATGTTTCTGCTTTAAGTATTATTTACTTGCCATCAGGCAGGTCAGAATCAATATGGAACGAAAACACTGAAGTCTTTTGTTTTACCTTCTGTGTGTTGGAAAATATTTTTATAAAAATCAATTTCTTCAGCAACCACTTATTTTTCACCGATTATATTGTGGCCACTATTATACACTCTAGGACCATAGTGTGAAAAATGTTCTTTTAGTAATCAAATGTAGCTTTTTACATATTGGATATTATGTTAAGAAATATTATTTATAATGTATAATGCACAATGCTATTATAATGGATGTAAAAATGAACTGTGTTTTTTAAACTACCATCTCTGAATCACTTTATAGGTTTCATCACAAATTTTTTGACTATTCGAATATATCGGTTTCTAGTAGAATGGTAAAGACTTGTATAAGTCAGCATGTTTGTCAGGGTATTTACTATCTTCTGAGTAGTACTGACTTCGATGATGGTTTCTCCTGGGAAAAAGGCTCGCACCCATTTTCCAGTTCTAGTATTCGATATGACTAAGTTATGCAAAAACCTAAGAAGTACTCTATGGAATGTTTCCGAAACTTAGAGTCATCACTGATGCCATTAGTATTAAATGAATCAGGGTAGCTTCACTGTAATCAAAACAAAGATTTTACATTCATTTAAATTTAAGCATTTTTTTTTTTACTTTGAACATTAGTTTCGAGCATTCTATTCCTGACATAATACAAAGTAAAATCATTTAAAAGAGGAAGTTGATTTCTTAATTAAATTTAGCACCCCTCATCCTCAGTACACTAAGAATTTAAAATTTAATATTTAAAAAATATTACACTTCAGCCTAATGCTTTACATATAACTATTGTATTATATTAGGGGATTATTTTTGCCATTCATATGGCTGATATCCAATATGCTGTTCTCCAACCACAGATCAACAATATAACTTTCAACAGCTCCTGTTGGCATGATACTATTTGCTGTAATTGCTCTTGGAGAAGTAGCACATTCCCTTAAGACAATATTGTGCCCTTTTTACATGCACATGTTATTTTTAGCTCTAGCAAGAGTTTGAAGGGTGTTTATTTTTATATAAAGAAGAAATAATAGGGGAAAGAAGGACAAAATACCAGAGATATATTTATGGTTCTATAGTAACATATGGGTGATTTACCCAATAAAATGAAATGAAATATAAAAGCAAAAGCAAACCAACATACCCTCGCTGGAATACTCCTTCTCTTAACAGCTATCACCTGTATCTCAATTTTAAGACTAATCACATTTTTAAAAATATTATTTTATGTAAGCAAAGCAGGAAATTGAATGGAAGCTTTTGTTTTTCATTTTATTTCACTTCAAAGCAGCATTTGACTCTTGCTTATTTATTTCTTTTTTAAAGCACACTCTTCACTCGGCTGCATGACACAACAATTTTCTGGCTTTCCCTCTACCATTCTACCAACTTCTGACTCTTTTGATGACTGTTCTTCCTCTACCTGGGCTTTTAATAAAAACTTAGCTCTTCAGTATTTCCCAATATTCTTTTTTGGTACGTAAGGAGAAATAACAGAGGAGAACTTTTATTATCAACAGCTTCCTCTAGGATTGAAACCTTAAAATCTAATTCTCTAATTAATATTTCTTTTGGGATATCTCAAATTTACCTGGAATTGAATATTTCCAAAGCAGAATGTTTTGTCGTAATTCAATTATTTAAACTGGTTCACTTTCTGCTGCTTTGTTCCTAAGGAACGGCATCAAGTTTTCAATTTATCAAGAAAGAAACTTTATATATATCTTTATAATTTCCTCTTAGTCTACCCTTAAAATCACGGCATCACCAAGTTTTTTTGATTTTCTGTCCTAAATTCATCTACTTTTTTTTCACGACCTTCACTCAACCAAGTCCAAAAAACTATCATTTCTTTGGGACACTACAGAGGTCTTGATAGAAAAACAGACCAATTGATCAATAGATAGATATATCCAATCCATTCTCCATATTGAACCAATAATTTTACAAGGTAATGTAGTTATTTTATTTTTTCTCTCTCTCTCTAGTGCATCTCTCCCTCCATCTCTCTCTCTCTGTGTCTCTCTCATTCACACACACAAACAAACATACAAACACATACTTAACAATTTCTTTATTGTGGTAGGTTAGATTAAAACTCAGAAGTCTTCATTATTTCTCCTTCCCCAATAGAGTAGTGAAGTACATTTCCACACCCCTTGACTTTAGTAGTAGAGTGGATTTCCCCAGCCATGAGATTTGCCTGGCCGTTAGTTGAAGCTGGAAATCAAAGTGATCCATTTCCAAGCCCAGACCGTCAGACGCCTCAGGATTTTTCACCTGCCTTGCAAGTAAGTGCTTTTCCACCCCTTTGGAGAGAACTTGTCCAGGCTAGCCCATGGCTAAAAGGAGAATAAGAGCCATAAGGAACAAAGATGAACTGCCTCTCTCAATCTACTGCTAAGATTTTTGTGCTTGACTGTTATACAGAATAATTGAGAGTATTGGTAAGTGTTATTTATGGTTTCTTATTTTTCTAAATATAAAGTAAAATAACTTGCATATATTCAAAAAATCCTGTATAATTTGTCCCTCTACTTCATGTCAAGCCTTATTTGACACCAAGCTCCCTATGTCTTCCAGTGCCAAATCAGGATGGCTTTATTCTAGTTCTGTCAATTCACCAATGATTTCTCCAAGCTCAGAAACTTACACATTTTTATATCTTTTTTTCTTCTTGCTCCTTTCTAGTTAGCTCCATCTCATTCTTCAGAATCTGAACTCGAGTACTACTTTCTCAAGATTAGCTTGATGCAATTACTATTCTACATTAGTGTGTCTTTATAAAATTGGTTTCCACCATTAAATTAAGTCTTCTAATAATGGAATTATTAAATTATTGAATAAAGTAATTAATGAGTGAGGTGATCCAAGCTAGATGTGAGTCATTTTCAAAGGTCCTAGTAATTGCACACCATTGACACTTGCCCAACAGCCGCTATGAAGTATTTTTTTGCAAATAGTTGTATGTGTATTAACATAAGTTATAAGTGATGTAAAACAAATTTAATAAATGTACTCATGGTGTCTCTTTCTCTTTATAACCCCAAACTAGGAAAAATTTTAAATTTCTTCATCAGCTTCTTTTAAATAGAATAAATCAGTCAAGTTGAAAATCCATTAGCCCTCTTGCTCTGTGTTTCCTTGATGTCTTCCCATGAAATGCGTTCACTTTCTATCAAGAAAAATATTAACTTAACCTTGAGCATTATTTAATACATTTGTTTAAATAATAACATATGTGAGTTATAAATTCATAGCTTTTCTTTTCAGCTACCAGCCTTGAGAATTGGATCATTTCCTATGCCGCTAAATTGGATTTAAAATGTGTTTTCTATACCATGATAGCAATTTGAATTTGGAATTCTGTGCAAAATCGTTCTATATTTGGGATACAATAAATATTATAAGTACCTTTGGTTCAGTCTCTTGTTCATTCATTATGATGGGTGCAGAACTGTCTCCCAGATGCGATTGTAAGCACATTTTAAAGGTAAGAAATTCATTTTATTCACATGTATATCCTTCCTTTACTTCTAAAATACAGCTTAGTTTTAAACATGCAATGGTTAATCTATATTTATTGAAATGTTAAAACTTATTAGAAAGAAAGTATTACCTCTTCCACAAACATCAATTGGCACCAAGGCAAAAAGCTGGAATAATTTTCACTGTCCTCTTTATTACAAAAAATCATTCTACCACATTCGACAATTTCTCCTTATTTAAAGTCCATATCATAAGATTCTATACCCTCTCTCTCATTTTTATCAAAGTCAATCTCCAAATTTCCACACAGTCCCTACTTATCTCAAGAATATATTAATACCTTTTCCATTATTTTTCAGTTTATCCAAACTCATGTTAATATCCTGAGGAATCTCAATCGTAACATGAAAATTTCAACAGTGTTATCTTAGAGATGCTGTACTTTCTCAAAGAAAACTATCTTTATTTTCACCACAGGAAGAAACTACCAATTTAGGCTTCCAAAAATTGTTAATATCTCTCTCTGGCATTTTTACTTGTCTATATCCATTGAGTTTGCATCACTTTTTCATCTGTCCTCTGTTCCCTCTGTTTGTTCCAATCATGGCAGCCTATCACACCCTCCTAGTTTTATAGTCCTTTCTATTCTAATCACTTTGATTCACTGTTCCAAATCTTCACTGTCCAGCTTGCTGGATACCTTAACTTCTTTAATTTGTTTGTTTCCATCTTGCTGGTTTAAATCCCTGGATAACTTCAATTATCTCTTTGGTCAGTTCTTACTCCTGGGATGTTATTATTGACAAAAATAATGAAACTGCTATTCTTGCCATTCTACCATAATAGGCAAACGTATAGTTGTCTGGAGTGCTTGGCTTGATAATGGATTGCTGAAGATATGGTACACAAATAAATGCTCAAAGACAGACTGGAGAGAGATTTGACCAAAAGACGCTGCGTCCCAAATTTGACAAAAAGAGACTGCGTCTCAATCTGTAGATAATAGGTAATACCGAAAGTTACTAGGAAAAGGAAATCATATTTCTTGACCTGTCCTAGAGATTAAAATGTGTATATTATGATAATGCAAAAACAAGTTATTACAGTTTGAATGTGTATTAATGTAAAATCAATACTATAGAGAAAATGAAGATGATAAAAATAGACTTCCTCATAGGTGAAAGCTAAATTTTTAAAGGAACTGCTATGAAAATATTTCTTAACTGTGATTCCCAAACCTGACTATTTATACTAATCATGTGTGGGATTTTTTTCGAATGCTGAGGCCAAGGCTCCACCCTGTAGTTTAAGATTCTCTATGTCTGCAGTAGGGATGAGGAATCTCCATTCTTCGGAAGCACCGCTAATCACTGTGATATATGTGCAGGTCTGAGAATCACTACAGGAAGCAAAATTCAGGTCACCTTTACCCCTCAATATATGGAGTTTTACTTCCTTTTTTCCCATAATCAGTCATTTTAGAAGAAATCTATAAGCTAGCAGCAGTTTTCTATTTATTGCTGTGGAAACCATTTTTCATGGGTTGAAAACACAGTCCTCTATGGGCCACATTTCCCTCAGTCAGAGATGTTTTGCATTGTCTTGCTGTCAATCATTCTTTCAGTAGTAATCGCCTATCAATTTTACCTCTCCTGTCAAGTGATTTTTATGGCATCTATGATTTATGTGGCAGGAACTGCTTTCCAGAGCAAGGCATCAGTTTTGAACATTGTTTACAGGACTAAGATCCATCTCAATGCCATGCTAGCAATGATTATCCTGAATGCTATTGAGAAGGAATCTGAACAGCTTGAGATTCAGTGGCAATTCTCCCCACACAATCATCAGACAAACTCAGAGTGTTGGATTTCTTTGCCAAAGGGGTGAAAAAATAAATATCTCAAAGTTGAAGAAAATTTGGTTTATAATTCAAAAGCTATTAAATATTTTTCCAGCTTTGTTGAGGTACAGCTGACAAATTAATAGATTGTATATATTTAAGGTATATAATATGGTGTTTTGATATAAAATATATGTGAAAATCCTTATAAACTTATGGAATAATTTCCACAATCAAACTAATTAACATATCCATCACCTCACATAGTTACCTTTTTGTGTGTTTGTGCTGAGAACACTTAAGGTCTAATCTTTGCAAATTTCAATCATCAATATATTATTATTAAACACAGTTACCAGGCTATATTTTAAGATTTCAGGAATTTATACATCTTATAGCTAAAAGTTTATATACTTTGACAAGATCCCCATTTCTACATTCCCCTGGTCCCTAGCAGCCACCATTCTACTTTGTTTCTCCAAATTTAACATTTTTAGATTTCACAAGTAAATAGCATCATGCAAAATCTATAAAACTTCATCCTATCAATCACAAAATGGATTTAGAAGATTGCAATTCATAGAACTTCAGCAATGGTATGAAGTGATTTTTTCAATAATTAAAATCTAACCTTATTAGCAAACCTTAAGTAAAAATGAGCAAACACCTTTGGATGCAATTTCAAACCTGAACTCTTAAATAAATTAAAGATTTATTTTGACTGACTCAAAATTTTGTTTGGTCATTAATAATTTGGAAAAACCTGTTTACTTAGATCCAAAAACAAGTTTCTGAGAAGAAATTCACTTTGTGACATACAAAATTTTGACACATTTTTTTGACTAATTCCCTCTTGGGCATACTCCCATAATCTCATCTTGAGGATATGGAGTGAATCCCCAGAAAACTGCAGCAGCCTTGTGGAAGAGTGGCCTGACTATTAAAAGAAAACAAACAGAAAACAACAACAAATTCAACAAAAGAGACCCCACAAAAAACCCATTCAAAGGTAATCAACCTCAAAGATCAAAGATAGATAAGCCCACAAAGATGAGAAAGAATCAATGTAAAAATGCTGAAAACTCGAAAGTCGGAGCACCTCTTCTCCAAATGACAATACCTCTCCAGCAAAACTACAGAACTGGGCTGAGACTGAGATGGCTGAATTGACAGAAATAGGAGTCAGGTGTGTAACATAATATTAGGTGGGTAATAATGAACTTCACTGAGCTAAAAAACCACGTTATAACCCAGTGCAAAGAAGCTAAGAATCATGATAAAACAATGCAGGAGCTGATAGCCAGAATATCTAGTTTAGAGAGGAACATAGCTGACCTAATAGAGCTGAAAAACAGAACACAGAAACTCACAATGCAACCACAAGTATTAATAGCAAAAGAGATCAAGCAGAGAAAAGAAACTCCGAGCTTGGAGACTATCTTTCTGAAATAAGACAGGCAGACAAAAATAGAGAAAAAAGAATGAAAAGAAATGAACAAAACCTCTCAGAAATATGTGATTATGTAAAAAGACCTAACCTGTAACTGATTGGGGTACCTGAAAGGGAGAACAGAAACAAATTAGAAAACGTACTTCAGGATATTATCCAGGAGAACATCCCCAACCTAGTAAGACAGGCAAGCATTCAAATTTAGAAACTGCAGACAACCCCAATAAGACACTGCAGAAAAAAAAAAAATCAACTCCAAGACACATAATTGACAGATTCACCAAAGCGAAAATGAAAGAAAAAATGTTAAGGGCAGCCAGAGAAAAAGGCCAGGTCACCTACATAGGGAAGCCCATAAGACTACCAGTGGACATCTCAATGGAAACCCTGCAAGCCAGAACAGATTGGGGGGTCAATATTCAACTTTCTTAAAGAAAAGAATTTCCAACCCAGTCTTTCATATCCAGCCAAATTAAACTTCATAAGTGAAGAAGAAATAAGATCTTTTACAAACAAGCAAATGCTGAGGGAATTTGTCACCACCAGACCTGCCTTGCATAATCTCCTTAAGGAAGCACTAAATATGGAAAGGAAAAACCATTACCAGACACTGCAAAAACACACAGACCAGTGACACAATAAAGTAACCACATAAACAAGTCTGCAAAATAACCAGCTAGCATCATACTGACAGGATCAAATTCACACATAACAATAATAATCTTAAATGTAAATGGGCTAAATACTTCAATTAAAAGACACAGAATGACAAGCTAGATACAGAGCCAAGGCCCATTGATATGCTGTCTACAAGAGACCCAGCTCATGTGAAAAGAAACATATAGGCTCAAAATGAAGGGATGGAGGAAATTTTAGCAAACAAATGGAAAACAGAAGAAAGCAAGGGTTGTAATACTAGTTACTGACAAAACAGACTTTAAACCAACAAAGATCAAAAACGGCAAAGATGGGCATTACATAATGGTAAAGGATTCAATTCAAGAAGAAGAGCTACCTATTCTAAATATATATTCACCCAATACAGAAGCACCCAAATTTATAAAGCAAGTTCTTAGAGATCTTCAAAGAAACTTAAAGTTTCACACAGTAATAGTGGGAGACTTTAACAATGAGACAGAACATTAACAAATATATTCAGGACATGAACTCAACTCTGGATCAAGTGAACCTGGTTCATATCTACAGAACTCTCCACCCCAAAATAACAGAATATACGTTCTTCTCATCACCACATGGCACCCACTCTAAAACTGATCACATAATCAGCAGCAAAACACTCATTGGCAAATGCAAAAGAACTGTAATTATAACAAACAACCTCTAGGACTACAGCACAATCAAATTAGTGCTCAAGATTAGAAATTTACTCAATACTACATGAAACTACATGAAAATTGAACAGTCTGCTCTGGAATGACTCTTGGGTAAGTAATGAAATTAAGACAGAAATTGAGAAGTTATTCAAAACTTATGGGAACAAAGAGACAACATACCAGAAACTCCAGGATGCAGTTAAAACAGTGTAAAGAGGAAAATTTATAGCACTAAATGCCCATATATAAAAGCTAGGAAGACTCAAGTTAAAAACCCACATTGCAACTAAAATAACTAGAGAACTAAGAGCAAACAAACCCAAAGCTACCAGAAAGATCAGAGCTGAACTGAAGGAGATGGAGACATTAAAAAACCCTTAAAATATCAATGAGTACATATAAAATATATAACAATAGATATATAACATAGATATACCACTAGCTAGACTAATAAAAAAGAAAAAAAGAGAAGTATCAAATAGACACAATCAGAAATGATAAGGGGGCTATCATCACTGACCCCACAGAAATACAAACATCAGAGATTACTAAACAATTCTATGCATATAAACTAGAAAATCTAGAAAAAAATGGATAAATTCCTGGACACATACAACCTCCCAAGACTGAACCAGGAATAAATCGAATCCCTGACTACACTAATAACAAGATCTGAAATTGAGACAGTAATAAAGAGCCTACCCACTGAAAAAAAGCCCAGGTTCAGACAGACTTATAGCTGAATTCTTACAGGGTTATGAAGAAGAGCTGGTACCATTTCTACTAAAACTATTCCAAAAAAAACTGAAACAGAGGGCCTGCTTTGTGACTATGAAGCCAGCATAATAAAGTTACCAAAACCTGGAAGATTTTATATATATATATATATATATATATAAGCAAAATAACTTTAGGCCAATATCCTTGATGAACGTTGATGCAAAACTCCTCAGGGAAATACTGGCAAACCAAACCAAGCAGCACATCGAAAAGCTTATCCACCATGATCAAGTTGGCTTCATCCCTGAGATGCAAGGTTGGTTCAACACATGCAAATCAATAAATGTGATTTATTTGATAAAATTCAATATCCCTTCCTGTTAAAAACTCTCAATAGACTAGATATTGAAGGAAAATACCTCAAAATAATATGAGCCATATATGACAAACCCACAGCCTACATCATACTGAATAGGTAAAAGCTGGAAGCATTTCCCTTGAAACCCAGCACCAGACAAGGATGCCCTCTCTCACCACTCCTATTCAACATAGTATTGGAAGTTCTGGACAGGGCAATTACTCAAGATAAAGAAATAAAGGGCATTCAAATAGGAACAGAAGAAGTCAAATTGTCTTTGCAGATTACGTGATCCTATATCTCAAAAACCTCATCATCTCAGCCTAAAAGCTTCTTAAGCTGATTAGCAACTTCAGCAATCTCAGGATACAAAATCAATGTGAAAAAAGTCACTAGCACACCTATATACCAACAGCAGGTAAGTAGAGAGCTACATAAAGAAAATGTGGTACATAAAGAAATGTAGTACATAAACACCATGGAATACTATGCAGCCATAAAAAGGAATGAGTCTATGTCCTTTGCGTGGACATAGATGAAGTTGGAAGCCATTATCCTCAACAAAGTTACACAAAAACAGAAAAGTAAATTCCACATATTCTCACTTACATGTGGTATCTGAATGATGAGAACCTATGGACGCATGAGGGGGAACAACACCCACTGGGGCCTGTTGTGAGGGGATGGGGTCGGGGAGGTCAGGGGAGGGAAAGCATGAGGAAAAATAGGTAATGGATGCTGGACTTAAAACGTACATGATAGGATAATCTGTGCAGCAAATCACCATGGCACATGTTTACCTATGTAACCATGTACCCCTAAATTTAAAATAAAAGTTGAAAAAAAAATAAATTATTGAAAAAAAATCATATATAATATATAATTTTATGTATATACTATATATACATATCTGTTCTCTCTCTCTCTGTATATATATATATATATACAATTAGCTATTCTTCCTTGAAGTGATCCATAGAGACTTGAAGAATCAGCAATGCAGCCTAAGTCATTTCTACTAACCCATTCTATAGGTGTCACTTCTTTTATTTTGTACAAAGCTTTTCAAGGCACATGCCCTGGGAAAGACTAGTTAAAATAGCTGAAGGAAATATATTCAGACATATGAGGCGCTCTCTCTCGCTCTCTCTCTCTATAGAGAGAGACTTATATGGCTGAACATATATATATATATATATAGAGAGAGAGAGAGAGAGAGAGCGAAAGAGAGAGAGATCTCCCAAGAAAATCTGCTGAGTATGACGAATATATTAATCCTAAAGATGACTGCTACTTTAAAAAAGCCATTATTTTTAAGAGTTTTTTTCAAAACATGAAACTTGAAAGCTAGAGTTAGAAATGAAAGTGTTAAGATTGTTATAGCTTTCCTAATATTTCATATTACCTTTGTACTTCGTTCAATAAGTGAACAAATTAATCAGGAAGAAACAGATTCAAATGCCTTGCTCTCTTGCTAGAAATTTGTAGATTAAGGATTAAATCTTTAAATTACATGGGAGAAGGGAATATAAATATATAGGATTATAGACAACCATGATAGTCTAAGCAATGGTTAACAATTCCTATTCATATTTTTAATCCGTTAGAGATAGTCTTCATCATACATCTAAATAGCTTTGAGCCAAAGACACCAAGATTATTTAAGCATGAGAAAATGTCCCATCTAGAATTTTAAATCATGTGATTATATTCTTATTCATTGATTTAGCCCTCAGGCACACAATCTGTCACTCCATTAGCTGACTACTGGTATGGTTAGTTAGCTATTCTCCCTCGAAGTGATCCATAGAGACTTGAAGAATCAGCAGTGCAGCCTAAGTCATTTCTACTAACCTATTCTATAGGTGTCACTTCTTTTATTTTGTACAAAGCTTTTCATAGCCACATGCCCTGGGAAAGACTAATTAAAATTGCTGAAGGAAATATGATCAGCCATATGAGGCAGAAAATAAATTTACGGGAAAAATCACTTAATAGTTGCTGCATATTTGTTATCAAATGCTTTTCTGTGATGCCAAAAGAATATATTTTACTAGAAGTTATTAGGCAGAGATAGTGTAATTTTCACTTTATTTTCAGGTATGATAACATATTTAAAAGCTCTATAAATATTTTAAGAATCATATATATTAAGAATGAAACAATTTAACTTAAACCTTTATTCTAGATAGTAGAGTACACAGAAAGCGTAAGATGTGGTAAGGGGCAGAGCAAGATGGCCAAATAGAAGACTCCACTGATGATCTCCCCAGCTGGAACACCAAATTTCGCAACTATCTACACAAAAAATTACTTCACAAAAAACAAAAATCAAATGAGCATTCAGAGTACCTGATTTTAACTTTATATCACTGAAAGAGGCACTGAAGAGGGTAGGAAAGACAGCCTTAAATCACTGACACCACCTCTACCCCATCCCCCACCAGTAGCCACATGGTGCGAAGAGATAATCTGTGAGCTTGGGAGAGAGCGAGCACAGCAGCTGTGAGACACTGCATTGAAATCAGTGCTGCCCGTCACAGCAGAAAGCAAAACCTAGCTGGCCGGGTGCAGTGGTGCACATCTGTCATCCCAGCACTTTGGAAGGGCAAGGCAGGTGGATCACGAGGTCAGGAGTTCAAGACCAGCCTGGCCAACATGATGAAACCCCATCTCTACTAAAAATACAAAAATTAACCGGATGTGGTGCCGCTCACCTATAGTCCCAGCTACTTGGGAGGCTGAGGCAGGAGAATTGCTTGAACCCAGGAGGCAGAGGTTGCAGTGAGCCGAGATCACACCACTACACTCCAGCCTGGGCGACAGAGCAAGACTCAGTCTCAAAAAAAAAAAAAAAAAAAAAAAAGAGAGACAGCAAAACCTGGCTGAACTCAGCTGACACCCTCAGAGGGAGCGTTTAAAGGAGCCCTAGCCAGAGGGGAATTGCCCAGCCTAGCAGCCAAACACCACACGCTAAAGTGTTCTGGGGCCATAAATAAACTTGAAAGGCAGTCTAGACCACAAGAACTGCAACTAGGTGAATCCCAGTGCTGAACTGGGCTCGTAGACAGTGGACTTGGAGGGCATGAAACCTGCAGAGATATCAGACAGGGTGGCTAAGAGAGGCTTGCACCACCACTCCCTCAGCCACAGGGAGCACAGCTCATGGCTCCAAAAAAGACCCCTTCTTTCACTTCAGGAGAGGAGTAGGGGGAGCAGAAAGAGTAAAGAAGACTTTGTTTTGTGTCTTGGATTCCAGCTCAGACACAGTAGAATAGGGCAACAGTGAGGGTCATGAGGCCCCTTTTCCAGGCCCTAGCTCCAGGGTGACTATTCTTAACATACCCAAAGCCAGAAGGGAACCTGCTGTCTTGAAGGGAAAAATTGAGTCCTGTTAGGACCTATCTTCTGCTTACTGAGCCCTTGAGCCCTGAATAACCATCAGCAATACTCATATAGAATGCTGTGGGCCTTGGGTGAGCCCCTGAAACTTGCTGGCTTCATGTGAAACTCAGCACATTCCCAGCTGTGGTGGCTATGGAAAGAGACTCATTTTGCTTGAAAAAAGCAGAGGACAAAGTAAAGTGAACTTTGTCTTGCATCTTAGGTACCAGCTCAAACATAGGGGAATAGGGGACCCAAGTGAGATCTCAGGGCCCCCCATTACAGGTCTTGGCTCTTGAACCACATTTCTGGACCTGTCTTGGGCCAGAGAGCACTACAAGCTGAGTAAGGAGCCCTTGGGCCTTAAGTGAACATCAGAAGTAGCCTGGAAGTACTTCATGTGGGTCTATGGTGTTGGTGGCCATGAGATGAGGCTCCTCAGCCTGGGGAAAGGTGAGGGGAAAGTGGGAAGGACTACATCATGTAGTTTGAGAGCCAGCTAAGCTACAGTAAAATAGAACATCAGGTAGACTTCTAAGGTCTTTTTATTCCAGTCCCTAGCTCTCAGATGGCACTTCTGGACCCATCCAGGGCCTGGGGAACCTTGCCACCATGAAAGGAAGGACACAAACAACTGACTTTGCCACCTACTGACTTGAGAGCCCCAGGACCTTTAGTGAATACAGGTGGAGCCAGGTAGTGGTTACAGCAGGCATTAGTACATAAGTCCCAGTGCTGTACTGGCTTCAGTTCTGACCCAGAACAGTAGCAGTGGTGGTAGCCACAGGGGTACTTGCAGCTCAGAGAAGAGAAAGAGACTCTATTTGGAAAAAAAAGTAAGGGAAGAGAGCAAGAGTCTCTGATTGGTAATCCAGAGAATTCTGGATCTTCTCCAAGGCTATTAAGATGATACTTCTATAAGTCTGCAAGGATCACAGCATTACTAGGCTTGCGGCATCCCCTAATAAGATATGGTTTAGATCACAACACCCAAGTCCTTCCAAATACCTGGAAAGCATTTCCAAGAAGGACGGGTGTTCCTGGGATCCACCAACACTGGGAGGCTACAGTATATACCTCTCTTTAATGCCCAGACACAGTTGAAAATCCACAAGCATTGCGACGATCCAGGAAAACATGACCTGCAGGATTTTTATTGGTTAGGGTTTTACATGTAAGTCTTTAACTCATCTTGAGTTAGTTTTTGTGTATGGTGTGAGGAAGAGGCCAGTTTCAATCTTTTGCATATGGCTAGCCAGCTATCCCTGCACCATTAATTGAATAGGGAATCCTTTCCCCATTGCTTGCTTGTGTCAGGTTTGTCAAAGATCAGATGGCTGTATGTTCTCTATTCTGTTCCATTGGTGTATATATCTGTTTTTGTACCAGTGTCATGCTGTTTGGTTACTGTAGCTCTGTAGTACAATTTGAAGTCAGGTAGCATGATGTCTTCAATGTTGTTCTTTTTGCTTAGGATGGCCTTGGCTATCTGGGCTCATTTTTTGGTTCCATACGAATTTTAAAATAATTTTCTCTAGTTCCATGAAGAATGTCAATGATACTTTAATAGGTATTAACCTTAGTATTAACCATCACACCCAGCAAAGAAAGGTTTGGGTCCCAATGGCTTCACTTCTGAATTTTATCAAATAGCTAAAGAAAAATTAATACCAATCCTTCTCAAACTATTCCAAAAAAATAGAGAAGGAAGGAATACTTCCAAACTTATGCTGACAGGCCAGTATTACCTTGATACCTAAACTAGAAAAAGAAACATAAGAAAAAGAAAACTATATATCAATATTACTGATAAATGTTGGTGCAAACATCCTAAATAAAATACTAGCAAATCAAATTCAACAGTACATTAAAAAGATCATTCATCATGACCAAATGGGATTCATTTCAGGGATTCAAGAAAGGTTCAGCATATAAAAATCAATTAATGTGATACCTCATATCAACAGAATGTAGGATAAAAACCACATAATCATTCCAACTGATGCCGGAAAAGCATTTGATAAGATTCAACATATCTTCATGATAAAATCCCTACCCTTTAAAAACTTGGTGTAGAAGGAACATACCTCAAAATAATAAAAGCAATATGCAGCAGACCCACAGCTAATATCCTACTGAATGGGGAAATACTGAAATCCTTTCTTCTAAGATCAGGAACACAACAAGGATGCCCACTTTCACCACTGCTATTTAACATAGTACTAGAAGTTCTAACCAAAGTAAACAGACAAGAGGAAGAATAAAGGGCATTGAAATTAGAAAGAAATAAGTCAAATTATCCTTGTTTGCAGATAATTTGATCTTATATCTGCAAAAACCTAAAGTTTTCACTGAAAAACTATTAGAACTAATGAACAAATTCAGTAAAGTTGAAGAATACAAAATCAACATACAAAAATCAGTAACATTCCTATATACCAATAGTAAAGAATCTGAAAATAAATCAAGAAAGTGATGCTATTTACAACAGCCACAAATAATATTAAATGCATAGGAATTAACTTAACTAAAGAAGGAAAAGGTCTCTACAGAAAACTATAAAACACTGATGCAAGAAATTGAAGAGGACACACACAAAAAATGGGAAACTATTTCACGTTCATGGACTGGAAGAAAGAATATTGTTAAAATGTCCATACTACCCAAGGCAATCTACAGGCCTAAGGTAGGAAAGCTTGTATTTCATGAATGAAACCAGCATAACTATTTCTTCCAAATAGTTAATCATAGTTTAGCAAGCTTCCTCAAAAAGCATCTCGATGAAAAGCAAAATAAAAATATAAAAAGCTAGAAATTAAAATGCATGATTTTCTTTAGTAATGATATAAATTTTATAGTCTTCATTTATGTCTTGCATGGTTAACGGAATCTAAAATTATATTTTTCCTGGTTTTTAGGAAGGGGATGACAATCAGTGATTTTTTAAAAAGTGATAGCTGTTATTTGACTAAACTACATTAGTAAAGGTGTATATTTTTTCTCATGTACGCACACACACACACACCCCTACATATATGGAATCCCGGAGCTTTTGTACCAGTTATTGCTGGGAAGAAATCTCAAAATTATCATCATGATCCAATTATTTTTGTTGTACATAATTTTATTTGTTTTTTTAATTTTTTAGATGGAGTCTCACTCGTCGCCAGGCTATAGTGCAGTGGCGTGATCTCAGCTCACTGCAACCTCTGCCTCCCGGGTTCAAGTGATTCTTCTGCCTTAGCCTCCCAAGTAGCTGGAACTACAGGCGCGCACCACCACACCCAGCTAATTTTTGTATTTTTAGTAGAGACGGGGTTTCACCGTGTTGGCCAGGATGGTCTCAATCTCTTCACCTCATGATCTGCCCACGTTGGCCTCCAAAAGTGCTGGGATTACAGGCATGAGCCACTGCGCCCTGCCATAATTTGATTTTAAATCCTGTAAATTCAATTTCTAAAATCTACATTGTTGTTTTTTTCAAAGTAGCCATTTTCAAACTCCCCTTTACCTGGGTTATGAATTTAGTTATTTTTATCTTTGACTATTTCAAACATATATTTAAGGTCCTCTTGCTAATTGTATTGTTAGCACGAGCCTGTTACTCTCATGGCAATAATGTCATCTTGTGATTTGTATTTCCTGTGAATCCAACCTTAGAAGACCTCCATGTTGAACACTTCAACGTACTCTCTCCCTGTGACACTGTTTTGTGGCTGTCTCTACCATGTCTTTATGAAGTTCACTGATTCAAGATCAGCTTTCTGTTAGTATCAAGGCTAGGGGTTATAGCATCACATGAGTCCTACAAATTCAACTTTTTGCTTATGCAAAACTCATGTTTTCATTGCTAAATTTTCACTGGGACTCTTTCCACTGTTCTAGGTAGAACACCGCTGTGCTCTGGCACTGGTGGTTTTATTAACTTCCTGTTTTAAACCCAAGGGTGTCACAGATTGAACAATAAATTGTATGGTCCCTAACACTAACAAGAACTATGGGCTCAACTCTCTGTACTGTGTTGTTCCAACTTCACCTTCTAAAGAAGGGGTTTTGAAGCATTAGCATGCATTTTATTAAAACCACATTGCTGGGCTCTACCACCAGAATTCTGGTCCAGAAGACCTGGGTGGGGTTCAGGAATTCTGAGTTCACAAATTCCCAGATAATGTTGATGCTTGCAGTCTGGGACTACACCTAGAAAGCAACTGACTTAAGGTGTGTGTGTGTGTGTGTGTGTGTGTGTGTGTGTGTGTGTGTGTGTGTGTGATTCAGATACACATTAAAGCTTTTACTTCAAGTTTAACATTTCTTTGTCTACAGAGATCAGAGATCCCTCCTCCTACTTTGTAATCTCTGTCTACTTTTCCTCCTCCTTTTGATACTTCAGCTACTAATTAGTTTTTTTTTCTTTAAATATTTTAAATTCTAACTGGAGCCAAGGTGCAGAGAAATGAGTTCAACATAGACCTCATTTTACAGAGTACTGCTACGACTGGTTATTCAGGGTCTTCCTTTGTTTTATCCCCCTTACCTCCATTTCCTCCACAACATGATAACCTACAAATGTGTTGGACCTACAAACTCAAATTCCTGTTCTCTTGAATTTCTGTAATACACCTTATTTTATGATATATTATTTGTAAAACTCTATTGGATTTATTTAGATGCAATTGTGTTTGACGCTTTCACCACTGTATTTATAACTGGAAATAGGTTAGTTGTTTTAGCTTAGTTTTGTCTTTGCTATTTTAATTAAACTTTGACCTGGCTTTAAATTAATATATTAGCTTCTCACTCCTCCACTCACCAACCCCCTATGCTATGATGTTTTACCTGTCTGTATATTTTCTCGCATAAGATTTATTATATGGAATTATCAAAGCCTGGAAATTATGGCAAAAATCATCTGTAAAGTAAGGGTGAGGAATGTGATTATTACTTTTAGTTATTTTGATTTTTAAAGATTTTATGATTCTGATACCAATATTCAAAAGTATATTATTTAATATATTTGTCTATGTCACTTGGCAAATACTATATTCATGTTTACACAGATCAATTTACATATGCATCTTTATATTTTTATCCCATCATTATTACTAATATAATTGTGCCAGTTGTGCCTACAGTTATTTTCTTGTATGCGTTTTGAATTTCTAAATTTTTTGTCCTTTCTCCTTGATCCTGTTTTCCAAAATTGTATTTATTTTATTGGTATTATTTCATTGTTTCATTGTTAACACTCTGTACTGCTTTGTTTTTGTGGTTGTTCTCTAGTTCCTTAACATCTAATTTTTAAAAATCTTTCTACTTGTTACTTTGTACTTGCTTTCTTTGTCTTTCTACTTTCTTGTGTTGGCTTATTTTTTTCATTTCTTATTATGTGATCAGCATAATTAAAATTATACACCATTCTAAAAGAAAATGTTTTGGTAATGTCCACAAACCTTGACATATAGTATTTTCATTATTTTAAAGTTTCCATATGAATGCATCTTTAATCCAAGAGATATTTAAGAATATGTTATTAATATTGCAAACATAGAAGTTGTAACTTGTTTTCAATTTCATTCAGCCTTTCTTTCTAATAGATACTATTTTTAGAGTAGTTTTAAATTTACATGAAGATTAAAAGGAAAGTAGAATTTCCTTATACCCCTCACCACATCCCAACAGACACACATTTTCAGTTTTTCCTATTATTAATATTCTCCATTAGAGGGGTATGTTTACCATAATTGAGCTAATGTTTATACATTATCATTAACTAAGTCCATAGTTTACATTAGAGTTCACTCTGCATTGCACATGGTTTACATCTATTTTGACAAATGTATAATGACATATACCTCTCATTATAATATCATACAGAATAGTTTCACTGCCCTAAAAATTGACTGTATTTCATCTATTCATCCCTCCCTCCCTCCATTGACTTTTGTATGGAAAATCTAGTCCATATAAGATTATTACCATGTATACCTATGTAAAGAAACTGCACGTTCTGCACATGTATCCCAGAACGTAAAGTAAAATATAAAACAAATTAGTGAGTATGAGATAGATAGCTGTTACTTGAATTATTTCAACTTCTCTGTAACTTTGGCATTTTTAAAAGAAAAAAATTCGGAATTAAATATGTAAAAACGCAAAAAAATCATTGTAAACCAGGATTTAATCAATTTTGTATCCTCAGTAAAGTATGATTTGAAGATGTATGGTGTGTGTGCCTATTGTGTTATTTGAATCTTCTACATATTTGTTTATGTAGTATTTGTTTGATCAATAAAATGTCTAGGATGAGTCTTTTAAAACTTTGAGCGTTGGGGTTTGGCTTTATCCATAGTTCTGCTAATTACTGTTTGTTCTGCTAAATTATTTTTTCTGCATACATATTTGTAATTATGCAGTCAATTTATTCCTCTTTATGGAGCCCTTACTTTGTGTCAGTCACTGCTTTAGGCACTAGACACACAGCAATGAACAAAACCTACGCAGTGTCTACCATTGGGAAGATTATATCATTGTGGATGGCAGGGAGCAAGGTAGAAAATAAACAACTGAGCATAACATACAGAATATGAGATACCAATAAGTGCTATAAAAATTATAGCAGGTAGTAAAAAGAAAGTTACAGGGAGCGGGAATAAGATCTCTCTAAACAGTTCTGCTTTGACTAAAAATCTGAAAGAAATGAGACGGTAGGAGGCCATGTAGATATTTGAGGAAAGAGCATACTAGATCAATGGGCCAACCTAGGCAAGAGTCTTGAAGCAGCAGTTTCTTTCTTAATCTACATGAATAAATTCCTAATTATTACTTTCTATCAGTTATAAAAACTCATTATTCTTCATGATGTTATTTACTTTGAATTCTCTTTTGTTTATACTGGAATTCTTGTCCATATTAGGCATTTTCTAACTAGTTACCTGATATTTCTTTTCTTCCCTTTTCTTACTAGCAGTTATCAGGACCAAGGGAAAATTTCTTCTTAGCCCTTTTAATGTTCACTAAAAAATCAACTCAAAAAAGGCAGATTAATTGAAGATAAGCCATACAAAATTTTATTTCATGTGTACACAAGAGTCTTTAGAATAAAGACACAGAGAAACAGCGTAAACAGTCCATTTTTATTCTTAAGTTCAACAAAGTACGTACAGCCATGCAAGAATATAATTGTAATGATATATAGTTTCTCACAATAAGAAACAAATACACTTATTTTCCTAGACATCCTTGGAGTTACAGGTACTTGGGTGAAACAGTCATAGACCCTGAGTCCTAAGCAGAAATCATCCAGTGGTTTCGGGGGAAAGTATTATTTTCCTAACATAGATGGCATCCTTTCATCTTCCTTCCTGTAACATGTATGTGGTTGAATGTGAAACAACATATCACCTTTCTAAGCACTCTTTTTCTTGAATGATTTATCTCCCTTAACTGATTTTACCTCATTTTTAGAGTGTCAGTGGAAGAAAGAGTAAGAGATGCTCTGGTCCTGGTAATCAGCTTGTACTTGTTTTTATACTCTCTTTCTCCAGCCAGTCTTGGCATGACTTTGATGTTACCCCTACTGACTACAGTTCTCAACTGCAGCTGTTGTTTGTCTACCCTAGTTGTGTGGGAGCAAGAAATAAAAGGAAAAAAATGAGCAGAAATAAAAAGTTCTCTCCAGACTTCCTGACCATATTCCAAATTATGAAAGTTCACTCTGTCTACCCTGAGCTAGTGTGTTGCTTTCCACACCAGGTCACATTTGCCCTTTTATCCTCAGGAGTTTCTCACACTTAACTGTAATTACTCAATTCCACATATTTTCATTTCCTCGCTGGCACCTTCAGTCTTAAGCTGGGAGAGAGACCCAGCACACTGGGTTGGATTTTCATCTTGTTATGAGCCAAAAATCTCAGATACTTATTTAAGCTTTTTATTTCCAGCTGCTGTTTTATTTTTTTGTGTGTTTGTAAGCAAAAATAAGATTTACCACCTTGGTTCAGTCCACCTTTTGATTGAAGGTGCATTCTGTAACTTTAGGTTTGTGAACTTAATTCTCATAAAATCCATTGTTTTCTATATTATTTGCCCTGTTTTTTAATAGGTGAGATTCAAAAAGGGTTATTTTCTAAGGTTGGTATAAGTAGAAGTTGAGTAATCCAGGTTTGAAGCTATATCTGAAAGTTCTTTTCATATCTGAAAGTTCTGCAGGCACTAGATTAGTATAATATGTTTAAACTTTCCTTCTTTTACTCAAAACATTGCACAGAGTCAGCTTACGCATAGGACTGATATTCACAATGGCAAATAGAAAGAAAATACATGGCTAGATAAGTGACAGCATTGGTCAAGAGAAATTTGAAAGGTGTGGAAGATAAGGTATAGCTTTTTCTACATGCAATCCACTTAAAAGTCACTTAATTGCCTTTAATTAAATTTTATCTCCTGTGTAGACATAAAACTGATTTAATCATTTGGTTCCTTAATGTCTGTGTTATCTAAAATGTCTGCTTCTCAGCAGCTGCACCTGTGCTTGAAAAGTCTAGTTTGCAGAATGAGAATCTTGGACTGAATATACAACATTGCGTGTATGTTTGTGTGTAGTTTGTTCTCAGATTGTCAGCAGCTCTGTCAGAGGGAAGTAATTCTTAATTTTATACTGAAGGCTGCTTAGAGCATAAGTTTATATTTTTAGATATATAAAATAAAGACTTCCAAGTTGAACAGAGGAAACACAGAGGATAATGATGCAAAGACTCACCTTGAGATTGAAATTGATGTGGTTAGTCTAAAGCACTTGTGGAGAAAGGTGTGATTAATTCTTATATTCTATAGGAGCATTTCCTTGTATGTGTAGGGGTCAGGCAGGAGTTCACAGTAGGACTAAGTTTAATGATCTTAGTGGTTTGACTAAAATATCTTGTAGGTACTACATCCTCCCATCATCTACATTACTGAAATTGTAAATGTGGGTTCCAAAAAATGCATTTTTGTCAATATACCAAAAGAAAAATGGGGGAATCTTCTCCCAAAAGTCACATAAATAAAAATGGAGAACAATTTGAAATGATATCTTGTTGACCTTCACTGTACCTACAACAATGGGCTATGGAGTCAGAGACCTGGACTTGAATCTTCTTTGTCACCTATGAGCTGTGGGACCTTGGGCAGGTTACTAAAATTATTAAAAATCAGTACTATCATGTGTAAAGTGGGAATGATTATAGCTTTCTCATTAGCCAGTTGCAAGATTTCTTTGTGTTAATCAGAGTCCTCCAGAGAAAAAGAACTGACAGTACATATATCTTGTAGATATAGATGTATCTAATTATATAAATCTATCATCTGTCCATCTATCTGTCTATTTTCTGTTGTAAACCCTGAACATCTGAGACAGGTCTCAGTTAATTTAGAAAGTTTATTTTGCCAAGATTGAGGACATGCACTCATGACACAGCCTCAGGAGATCCTGATGACATGTACCCAACGTGGTAGGGGCACAGCTTAGTTTTGTACATTTTAGGAAGACATGAGACATCAATCAATATGTGCAAGATGTACATTGGTTGGGTCTGTAAAGTTGGGACGACTTGAGGCAAAGGCAGGACAACCTGAAGTGGGGAGGGGGCTTCCAGGTCATAGGTAGATAAGAGACAATTGGTTTTATTCTTTTGAGTTTCTGATTAGCCTTTCCAAATGAGGCAATCAGATACGCATTTATCTCAGTGATGAGAGGGGTGACTTTGAATAGAATAGAAGGCAGGTTTGCCCAAAGCAGTTTCTAGCTTGACTTTTCCCTTTGGCTTAGTGATTTTGGGGACCCAGGATTTAGTTTCCTTTCACGTTTCACCCCTTTACTTTTTAAAAATCTTTTGGAGAAAGAATTTTTAGGGGAGAATGAGTCTCCAGTCTCAGGTTTTGTCTGATCTCTCATGGAACTTTATTCCATAGAAGGAATCTCAGATAAGACTTTTTGAAGCCAAGCCCAGCTGTGGATTTGTACCATCAAATATCTATCAGTTGGGTGAATTCCTCTTCTCATAAGGTTCAAAGATAACCTTGGGGTTCCTAGGCCTGTCAGAAAGTGACATTCTTTTTTTTTTTTTGTTTTTGACAGAGTCTTTCTCTGTTGCCCAGCCTGCCTGGAGTACAGTGGCACAATCTCGGCTCACTGCAGCCTCCATCTCCTGGGTTCCAGAGATTCTCCTGCCTCTGCCTCCTGGGTAGCTTCGATTACAGGTGCACATTACCACAACTGGCTAATTTTTGTATTTTTAGTAGAGATGGGGTTTCACCATGTTGGCCAGGCTGGTCTTGAACTCCTGACCTCAGGTGATCCACCCACCTCGGCCTCCTAAATTGCTGAGATTACAGGCATGAGCCACTGTGCCTGGCCCAGAAAGTGACATTCTTTACTTACCACAGGTCAGCAACCCTGTAAGGCACTGTGTGGACAAGGTATGAGGCCAGTTTTCCTGAGGGGCCTTTATTGGCTCCATAAGTCAAGTTTGGTTCCTTAAAGGAAAGCATACTATTCCAGTCAAGGCTTTGGTAAAATAACCAGTTTCTCCAATTGTTTTCTGTTATAAATGAAAACAGATTCTTATTGCACTTATGCAAATAACTATATTTTGCTGTAAGTTAAGAATACTTACAAATAGTTTCCAAATTCTGGAGAAATCAGGTAGAGAGAAAGAAATATGTTCTAAATTCTGTTCATAGGAGTATATTAAATTGTAAAAAGCTGTCAATAGCTGAAAAGAAAAGTTTCCTTGACTCTGAGAAAAAAAAAGGATCAGCAACATTAGTTCAGTCCATATAGTTAATTCTGATTCTGCTTGCTATGAAGATTTCAGTTATCTGTGAGTCCTAAAAGTTTTTCTTCTATTCTGATGTCGCAATCTCCAAAGTTATCAGAAACTTGTATTGAAGAGCACCTTTTAGAGTTTTATAGCTGATTATAAAACCACCTTCTCTTTTTTAATTTATTTTATTTATTTATTTATTTTTTTAAATCATACTTTAAGTTTTAGGGTACATGTGCACAATGTGCAGGTTTTTTACATATGTATACATGTGACATGTTGGTGTGCTGCACCCATTAACTCTTCATTTAACATTAGGTATATCTCCTAATGCTATCCTTCCCCGCTCTCCCCACCCCACAACAGGCCCTGGTGTGTGATGTTCCCCTTCCTGTGTCCATGTGTTCTCATTGTTCAATTCCCACCTATGAGTGAGAACATGCGGTGATTGGTTTTTTGTCCTTGCAAGAGTTTGCTGAGAACGATGGTGTCCAGCTTCATCCATGTCCCTACAAAGGACATGAACTCATCATTTTTTATAGCTGCATAGCATTCCATGGTGTATATGTGCCACATTTTCTTAATCCAGTCTATCACTGTTGGACATTTGGGTTGGTTCCAAGTCTTCGCTATTGTGAATAGTGCCGCAATAAACACACGTGTGCATGTGTCTTTATAGCAGCATGATTTATAGTCCTTTGGGTATATACCCAGTAATGGGATGGCTGGGTCAAATGGTATTTCTAGTTCTAGATCCCTGAGGAATCACCACACTGACTACCACAATGGTTGAACTAGTTTACAGTCCCACCAACAGTGTAAAAGTGTTCCTATTTCTCCACATCCTCTCCAGCACCACAAAAGAGGATACAAACAAATGCTCATGGGTTGGAAGAATCAATATCATGAAAATAGCCATACTGCCCAAGGTAATTTACAGATTCAATGCCATCCCCATCAAGCTACCAATGACTTTCTTCACAGAATTTGAAAAAACTACTTTAAAGTTCATATGGAACCAAAAAAGAGCCCACATTGCCAAGTCAATCCTAAGCCAAAAGAACAAAGCTGGAGGCATCACGCTACCTGACTTCAAACTATACTACAAGGCTACAGTAACCAAAACAGCATGGTACTGGTACGAAAACAGAGATATAGACCAATGGCACAGAACATAGCCCTCAGAAATAATGCTGCATATCTACAACTATCTGATCTCTGACAAACCTGACAAAAACAAGAAATGGGGAAAGGATTCCCTATTTAATAAATGGTGCTGGGAAAACTGGCTAGCCATATGCAGAAAGCTGAAACTGGATCCCTTCCTTACACCTTATACGAAAATTAATTCAAGGTGGATCAAAGAGTTAAATGTTAGACCTAAAACCATAAAAACCCTAGAAGAAAACCTAGGCAATACCATTCAGGACACAGGCACGGGCAAGGACTTCATGTCTAAAACACCAAAAGCAATGGCAACAAAAGCCAAAATTGACAAATGGGATTGAATTAAACTAAAGAGCTTCTGCACAGCAAAAGAAACTACCATCAGAGTGAACAGGCAACCTACAGAATGGGAGAAAATTGTTGCAATCTACTCATCTGACAAAGGGCTAATATCCAGAATCTACAATGAACTCAAACAAATTTACAAGAAAAAAAACAAACAACCCCATCAAAAAGTGGGCGAAGGATATGATCAGACACTTCTCAAAAGAAGACATTTATGCAGCCAAAAGACACATGAAAAAATGCTCATCATCACTGGCCATCAGAGAAATGCAAATTAAAACCACAATGAGATACCATCTCACACCAGTTAGAATGGCAATCGTTAAAAAGTCATAAAACTGCCTTCTAAAGAGGAGCAAAACAAGACAACAATTGTCCATGGATGACAAAATATTTTAGGGCAGCCATAGTCAAGGACATAAGTGACAAATTTGTTTCCTCTGTGACACACAATAATTTAAGATAACAATTATAATTACTACTGATAATGTACACTAAGTGATATCAGAATTATAGGAGTTTTTCATAATTTTGGAGCAAATACCAATAACATATTTACACAAATACAGCCCAAAGAAAAGCAAACACTATTTCATATTTAACAATGTTTTCTATATGATTTTCATATTAAATAAGCCAAATTATGTCATTTTTGGGCTTTAGGGAAACCAATATCTTAAAGAATTAATTAGGCCAGGAGAAGATATAATTTATAATTTGATTTTGGAAAATTATCAAACATTTAAAACAGTTGATATTACAGGTCATTGTAAAATAAGTCATTCATTTGACCAAAGTGATAACACAAGGATTTTTTTAAAAAGCTGATAACTTTTATTCTTTGAGAGAAGAGACTTAATTTTCTAAACAATAAACCCTAATAAAAACAACATAAAGCCAAATAAATTTGTTTTTCAAAATTTTATAAACAATCTACAAAATTTTAATCTTGACCATAAGATATAACTTCCATAAACCTTTAATAACTTTTATAACCTTTATTAAGGAGTCAGTTAATGCTTCAAGGAAAACTTAAGGTTTTCTTAACATAAGGGCCCATATGCTGGTCTTGCATCAATGTGCCTTTGACATTAATAATTAATTTATAGAGAAACTGCATTTATTTTATCTCTCAAAGTCTGCCCTCACAATCTCACACACCCATCTCTTCTGCGATATTTCCTGGGACTTGAGGAGTTGAATACCTTTAAATTCTGGCCCTATGTCTCAGGAACACAGTTTATTTGGTTTGGGATTTCTACCCGGCCTGAAGATGAGGTTTTAATTGCTGTCAATGTTTAAGATTTAGCAGGACTTGGTGTCCTTTTTAGACCTAGGAGTCAAAGCCCTGTATCTCAATGTCACAAGTACTTTGAAAGCAAATACTGAAAGACACATGGATGTAATAACCTTAATTAAAAAATATCAATCACAGTTTTTTTCCTAAGCAAACCAAAATTTAGTAATAATGACAGAGAAAATATTTCTATAAAACGTAAAATCTGCTAGGCCAGGTACCAAAAGACAAAAGAAATGACCTTCTGCTCTGCACAAAATATTATGTTGAAAGTAAACATTTCCTTTAGAACTTTAAGAAAACATTGTTAGCACTAGGACACATTAAACAGGACTCAAAGAAAAAAATCTTAATAAGTTGAAAATGAGTTGAAGGACCGTGTTACTATTTTGTGCCGTTTAAAATGGGTGAGAAAACAGAAAATGGTGAGATGCAATAAAAGTTAAACTTTGGGTTAAAAAAATTAAAACCTCTCATATTTTATTAGGAGTAAATCATTCCCTTAAGAAAACTTTATTGTTTTAACCAATTATTTATTCTATATGGTTTTTTCCTACGTCAAGCCCAATCTCTAGGAAGACCATTATAATTTTCCTTTAATTAATAGCTTGATCATATAAAAGTTTTTGTGCTTTTTCTTTTTTAATCCTCTTACTTTACTATGACTTTCACAGATTGTTCATGATCTGCTTGGATTTTCTAATTTTTTCTGACCATCCCTCTTTCTTAAATAACCAGTCATTTTATTCTAGGACTAAATCTACCATAGCAGATTCTATCACATATAAAATTATTTCCCTTTAAGTTTTCTTACAAAAAAACTTTATTTTTATAACTTTCTTTACAACCCTGTTATATCCTCATTCCTTTTACCTTGTTTTATATATAACCTTTAAATAAGCTTTGAATTAGACAATAATTATTCACCTCTTTTAAAAGGACACACTTTGTTTAAGAAAATATGTTTTCCTACAAATACATTTTTATTGGAAAGTGCCCAAATAATGAGATATCTATTATTTAGCTTAATATAACTTTAGATTATAGATTCTGACAAGTTTTTCTACATGTATTTATCCCATTACATTTGCCTAATTATTTTTTTAGTCATTTACCTAGATTATTTATGAAAACTGCAATAGTCATTGTTTAAAGTTATGGAACGGCCATTGCAAAATTGTAACAGACAGTAAAGAAGATATGACATAACTGATTCCATCTTGCTTCTAACCTCCAAGCTGTCCTCGTTCATTCCTGGGCACAGGAAAAATTAACTTTGGGAGGAACTTAATTTATTGTTTAGCTTTGGGACAGAGACAATAACAATCCCTTTCCAAAACAAACCTTGCTGCTTATGGACTAAACCACCCACAAGATTAGAAGTTATGGTAATCTAAACTAAATTCAAGAGGTAGCTATTTTCATTAAACTAATATTAATGTTTATTTATTAAAGATTACACAAGCAAAGATTATTCTGTGTTTTTAACCCCTATGCCAAATTTTGATACTTTATAGTATTTGGCAGGATAAGTATAAAATTGCTTGATTAATAAGTGCAAACAAAAATGTATGTTTTCAATTCTTAAGACATTTCTAATATTACTTTACCAATAATGTTAATGCTGGCTTATTTATTACAGATTTTACTTAAGTTACATAAACTTAAGTAAAAGTTAAGCATTTACTTAAGTTTACATAATTGAATTAAAATGAAAGCATGAAAAAACATATGACCAGTTTTTTTTCTGATAAAGTATTTAATTCAAGTGCTTTTATTTTCTTAAGCCAATTAATGAAAGCTTTTTTATATATATCAGTAGTGAAACACTGTGTACACAACACATAAATACATAGACGTATTAGGCATGTGGATAGAAGTACATCTTATAGATTCATAAAACTCCTGTTTTTTCCTACCTTAAACTTTCAAATTCTTGACAACCTGTTTTATTACCCTAGGTAGTTGTTAGCTAAATAGCCTTAAATTTGCATATTAAAGGAAACAACTCAGGTGAAAATCAAATAGCAAAATTTACATCATAGAGTATGGAGAGAAAAAGTCCTGTGTGCTAAAGAAAAATTAAAATGGAGTTGTCAATTAAACATAAAATTATAGAAATTATAAAAGTCTTTTAAATATATACACACACACATATACACACACACGAAGTTCCTATAGCTTTTACTTCAGAACTTTAGCCATGAGATAAATATAAAATTCAGCAGCTTGCAAAAATAACCTGTTGAATCCCAACAGTGGTTTTTATATTAATAGAAAAATAACAGCAGATTTAAAGCAGGCAGAAGAGAAAATAGAGAAAAGGAGAACTCAGGAACTCTATAGTTTGCTGGCTGACCTTAGGGCTCTTTTTCCTTAAAATAAATGTGCACAAAGACTATATTACTTCTATTTTACATAAACTCTGGCAAGTAGAAGTGCCATAAAACCTACGGAGTGCTCAAAAGGTTGTCATTATCCTTGTTTTCTCCTCATTCTTAGATTATTTGTTTCCCACTTTTTTAAAAAAAGGAGGAACTGAGTTGTGGCCTAGGGTTTTTGTGTGGTGGGTGGATGTATGCTCTTTGTGGGCAGGACTCCACATTGCATCACCACTGAGTTGTTTCCACCCTCTTGTGTGTCTCAATTTCTCTCTCCAGAGGTCTATAATCTCTGAGAGGACTCAAAATGCCAGGTGATCAGCCTTTATATGCATTTCCTGGATAAGCCTTTTTTTAATTAATTTTTTTTTGGGATTTCCCTGTAGGGCAGCTGCATGTCACAGGGATCAACCCCCCAGACACTCCCACGAGGCCCCTGGTCACCCAGGGGCACCTTTCAGCTGGGAGAAAGATATGCCTATTTCTTTTGAGCTGAGAAAACTCAGTCTCTCATTGACCTATGCAAACAACAGTTCAGTTGCTCATAGAAATGTGCACAGACAAGCCAAATGGAGATTAATTTTGGGAGAAAAAAGCGATAGAGATGACTCTTTAGAATGCATCTCAGAACTAGAATTAGGATCCTTAAACAACAACTTCCTAGGAGAGAAAAAAAAAAACAGCTAAGACCAATTTCTGTAAACTATGCACAACCACCCCTACTTTGTAGCTCTCATCTGCCATTACAAGTGCCAAGGTCAAATCCTCTCACAGTATTAAGTAATCTCTGGTACCCCCAAAGTCAAAGAGCCCAGATTATTCAATGTAGGAAAACAGAGGTTTAGACCTAAGAAGAATCTCCCCATGACTCTTGAAACTCCACAGAGGAAACAGAACACCCCAATGGGTGAATGGCACCTTTGTTCTGAATTCTTTAAAGAGGTTCAAGTCATTAGAAGCCGTCTCTAGATTTTTTGGTACAGCAGATGGCAAAAGGGAAAGGAGATATGGGGTGGAAAAAAAGTAAATGAAAGAACCTTTTTTTTTAAGACAGGAAGCAAACAGAGAAACCAAGGACATGGTTTTGTTTTTGTTGTTGCTGTGTTTTCTTGCTCTTTTGCAGCTGCAAGGAATTTTAGCCAAATTAGAAAGGTTTTGTTACCCATAATTTGGAATTCTCAGATTTGACCAAGTCAGGTAGAGTTGGTCAAATCTGATGGGGAAAAGACTGGAACAAACAACAAAAACAATAACAAAAACCCAGCCATATGATCACTGAGTGCTCTAATGGTAAGGAGAAATTAAGACCAGTTGATTGTTATACTTTAACCAAGAAAAAAAACTCAATTCAGCTACTTACCTAGGAATGGGTCTCAGGCTGAAGATTGCTTTCTACCATCCTAGAAGAAGGAAAAAAAAAAAAACTTGAACTCATCTTTCCTGCTGTGAGCAAGCTCAAACTCCATAAAGGAATTACCTGCCTTCCATCATTATGGAAACAGGAAATCTTGCCTTTCTTGTTGAAAGCAAGTAAACTCCAAAAAAAAAAAAAAAAAAAAAGTTAGAGGGGAGGGGGGTGAGTTGTACAGCAAAATAAACTTTAGATCTTGACCAAATTTCGGGAGATCAGGGATTCTCTGGAGGGGGTGCTCCCAGACCTCAGCAAATTGTCCTATTGGTTTGAGCCATTAAATCAGCTCATGCTGGTACCAAGCACCAATAGGAGATTTGTCAAAGGTCAGGGGCATCTCCACTCAGAATCCCTTCATTGTAACCAAAATGTGAACCCTCAAAATCTGAGACAGGTCTCAGTTAATTTCAAAAGTTTATTTTGCCGGCTGGGCACAGTACACCTGTAATTCCAGCACTTTGGGAGGCCGAGGCAGGCAGATCAACTGAGGTCAGGAGTTTGAGACCAGCCTGCCCAACATGGTGAAATCCCGTCTCTACTAAACATACAAAAAATTAGCTGGGCATGGTGGCAGGCACCTGTAGTCCCAGCTGCTCGGGAGGCTGAGGCAGGAGAATCGCTTGAACCTGGGAGGCGGAGATTGCAGTAAGCCGAGATCGCGCCACTGCACTCCAGCCTGGGCAACAAGAGTGAAACTCTGTCTCAAAAAAAAAAAAAAAAAAGTTTATTTTGCCAAGGTTGAGGGCATATGCTGTGACACAGACTCAGGAGGTTCTGCCTATGTGCCCAAGGTTGTCGGGACAAAGCTTGGTTTTACGCATTTTAGGGAGACATGAGACATCAATCAATATGTGTAAGATGCATATTGGTTCAGTCTGGAAAGGTGGGACAACTCAAGGTGAAGGCAGAACAACTTGAAATAGAGAGAGGGATTCCAGGTCATAGGTAGATAAGAAACAAATGGTTGCATTCTTTTGAGTTTCTGATTAGCCTCTCCACATGAGGCAATCAGATATGCATCTATCACAGCTATCAGAGGGATGACTTTGTATAGAACGGGAGACAGGTTTGCCCTAAGCAGTTCCCAGCTTGACTTTTCCCTTCAGCTTAGTGATTTTGGGGCCCCAAGATTTATTTTTCTTTCACACTGTCTAGAGAAGATATTTATTTTAAGAAATTGAATATTTATTTTAAGGAATTGGCAGTGGAGCTGGCAAGTTCAAAATCTACACAGTAGGTCACCAGGCTGGATATTGAGGTAAGAGATGATATTGTAATCTTATCACGCTAAAACTCAAGCATAGTTTTTATGTTGCAATCTTGAAGAGACTTCCTTCTGAGTATCGACTGCATTCCTCTTCCCTAGTTTCCATTGATTTACTGGAGCTCTTTGGTGATCTTTGGTTTGTAGATCTCTGCCTTCATCTTTATGTGATATTCTCACCATGTCCATGCCTCTATCCAAATTTTCCCTCCTTATAAGGACACCAGTCATGTTATATTACATCTCATCCTAGTGAACTCATCTTAACTGATTACATCTGCAACAACCCTATTTCCAAAAAAGGTGGCATTCTTCGGTCCAGAGGTTTAGGAGTTCAACATATGAATTTTGTGGATCCACAATTCAACCCAAAACATCCTTGTACTAGAAAGAGTTCAATAAATGAACAATATTATTTTCAGATATGAGCAGATACTTGAAGACTGAAATTAGAACTCTTTAAGAAAAGAACATGCAAATGATGTAAGAACATAAGGTAATTTGAGGAAAGGATACTTATTTGCCCTCTTAATTCTATGACATAAATAATGAAATAGACAAGATACAGTGTTTGCTAAGGGAACACAGACTTATAAATAAGAAGTTGTATCGGCTCTGGAAGCAGTTATTGATAAATTGAAGGAAGCAGAAATTCTAAGGAGGGAAAATACGTATAGATTTGGAAAATATTTTTGCCCTTTCTCAGTCCATGAGTTCAAAGTTATACAAATTCACTCCAGACGATAATTCAATTTTGAGAGTTCTCAGGAGCATATAATGAAGAATATTGATCTGATTGAAAAGCTCATGAATAGAAGGAATGGATTTTCTCATGCAAAGAAAAAGCACCTAAGAGGAGGAGATGGGAGCAACATAAAGTTTTTGAAAGGATTGTACGTCTTGTAAAAGAATTACAGTCTTATGTTACTAACTAATTATGGTAATTTCCAGCAGGAATTACACCTTTTCCATGAGCTAAATAAATAAAATGCCAAATGATCATATTCAGTCATATGAAATTTTATTCAAAATTATATCCTTTCTTTTTCAATTTCATATTTGGATTTTGGCAGTAGTCTGTATCCAGTTATAAAGTGTGAGAACTTAGAAGAACAATGGTTTTATTCTTCTCTTCTCATTTGGAAGTCTCATGCTTTGGTCAATTCTACATTTACAAATCAGCTTTTCCATTCCTTTACATTTGAACTGAATTCAAGTCCTTATTACCATTTAAATATATAGAAAGATACAATCATTACTGTTCTCACCTTCAGTTTATTATTCCCACTTCCAATCCATTTTTTATTGCCCACAGGTTAATCTCATAGTTTAATTGTGTGTCCTTCTGCATACAGAAAGATGAAACAACTTTTCATTACTCATTCATTCCCCAAATCATAATCTGTCATTTCTTCTCTGTGATAGATTACTAAAGGGCGACAAGGCTTCATCCTCCTTATCTTCATACCTTTTGTAATGTGATTTTTTTAGCTCTTTTTCTCAAGAAAATTTTTTTAGCTCTTTTTCTCCACCTAGGGATTTGCTTTGTTAGGTAGAAAGCTCTAAAAGTAACAGTTTGTCAATTCCAAATCCAGGCCTCAAGAGAGACTTTGCATGCTTTTGATCTTTCTGTATCCTGACATCATCATATGAATAAACTTATTAGATGATGAGTCATTTCCATTGACCCAGTTGAAAGCAGACCTCACATTAAACATATGAGTGAGGCTATCCTAGACCAGGGAGTCCCTACCAACTTATCATCTGACCACACTTGCATATGTGAGCCCAGCCAAGGTCAGGCAAGCTCAGCCCAGATGAGCAAAACCACCTAGAACAGCAGGACCATCTAGATTAGACAAAGACTCATATACAGTAATAGAATCTTGTGGTTTAAACCACTAAGTTTTAGGGTGATTTTTTTATGCATCAGTAAGTAAATGATACACAGCCCTTCAGAATCTGGACACAGTATAAGACCTTAATATACCCTAACATTTGGAATGTTTTTTGCATCTCAGTTACACCTGTTGAAATGGATTCTTCAAGGACAACTGGCAAATCTACTTAGTTACCGGAGCTGCTATCTAACTACTGGAATTCCTATTAGATTCTAATTGATACTGGATGCTGTTTTTCATTAAGTTTTGCAAGATAGTTTTCATACCTCTTTTATAATCCAGTGTTTCTTTACTTTGAATCTTTTTTACCTGAGGTAACCTAAATATAGCTATTTCAAAGAAACTAATATAATAATAGTGTAGATTTATTAAGATGATTGAATAGCACCGGTCCTAAAGGACTGACCAGTAACCATGTGGAATGTGTAAGGAATGGTTATAGGTAAAAGAAAGGAGCCTTTTACTCTTTTATGCATGTACCTAAAAAACTGCTAGACTTTTTAGGAAAATAAAGATTGCACCCGAATCAGATGATTCAAGAAATAGGATTTAGTAAAATCAAAAGTATATTCACCAAGAGGTTTTTCTTCTAATATGACTTATGTTCACACATGTTGAAAACAGAAGGACTCGCCAGGCGCAGGGGATCACGCCTGTAATCCCAGCACTTTAGGAGGCCGAAGCGGGTGGATCACGAGGTCAGGAAATCGAGACCATCCTGGCAAACACGGTGAAACCCAGTCTCTACTAAAAAAAATACAAAAAATTAGCCCGGCGTGGTGGCAGGCGCCTATAGTCCCAGCTACTTGGGAGGCTGAGGCAGAAGAATGGCGTGAACCCAGGAGGCGGAGCTTGCAGTCAGCCGAGATGGCGCCACGGCACTCCAGCCTGGGCGACAGAGAGAGACTCCGACTCCGTCTCAAAAAAAAAAAAGAAAAAGAAAATAGAAGGACTCAATGCTGCACAATGTATCAATTATTTGTCAATATGTAACTGTGTATCTAAAATTTTGATTTTGCCATTATAAACTATTGATTTAAGATTGGCAGATTATATTAGGTCTAAAATAATTTGATTCTCAAACATATACTTATAATAAAGATGCACTCTACAAAAGATTTGAGGAAAAAACAAAATTATATTGAACATGGAACAACATCTGGAAATATATCTGGTATTAAGAACTGGAAATATTTGAAGTATAATGGCATTTTTAAATAAAGTGGTTATATTGCATTTTTAAAGCATTTTTAATGCTATCACTAAAGTTATATTTTGAGAAGTGGTGTTTATTTTTGATAGACTAGAAATAATCCTTATAGAGTTCAATGTCTTCATCATAAGTTGATAAGAAAAATAAAGAGCAACTGGTACATGTCTGAGAATCTGAAAGAGTAGTTATCATATAGACTTTTGGAACCCATGCAAAATATGTTCTTAGGTGTAAATGTTTTGAATGCCTTTATGTGTTTATTGCTTCATAAGCATTTTATTATTTACCCTAGAATGATATGAGCTATATCACAATTATTATTGCTTGTTAAGCTCTGCTTCACCCTGCAGAATTTTTGCACTAATGTTTTTTGGCTTGTATTGTATACTAACATGTCATGTGAGATATATTGATTCATGCATTCAACAAATAATTATTGAGCAAAAAATCTAAGCAATATGCTCCACTAGGTCTAGGATTTATAGCCCTCAGAGAGCTTATATTCTAGCATGAAAAAAAAAATAAACCAGCAAACAAAACAATTGAATGTGCAAAAGGGTGAGGAATGTATAAATAAATGGTGAGAAACAAGATAAGGGGAATACAGAATGGTACTTGTCAGGCAAGGAACTGTTAACACCTGATGAAAGTGCTGAAAAGAGCCTATAGAGATGTTAAGGAAGGATGTTCCATGAAGAACAGACTCATTATAGATAAGAAATCAAAAGAAGGTTGAAATAAGAAATCAGTAGAATATGTCATTAGAGAAGTGAGGAAATTTCACTGGACCCTTTAGATCACTGTATGGAATTTGACTTCTATTGCAAGTGCCATGGGAAGCCATTTGATTGTTCGGTTAAGGGGAAACATAGAACCTTACTTATGGTCAGTCATCAGTGCTGTGAGGACAAGGGTGAAAGAATGAAAACATTAAGAAGCTATTGTCATAATACAGGTAAGAGTTAATTTCAGCTCAGATGTGTGATACAGTAGCAGCTGATATGGTGGGAAGTGGTTGATTCTGGATATCTTTTGAAGATAGAAGTAAGATTTGTTAATGGATTAGATGGAGTTTGTGAACTATAGTCTAGTCAAGAAAAATGAAGAGGAGAAAGGAACAAAAGTAGCAAAGGAAAGAAGGGCATCGATTGTTAACTGAGTATATTAATTGCAGTTCATTTTAAGTGCAACTTTTTCTTATAATTGAACTAATACAAAGGCCACAATTTTGTAGTAAACTCAATTTTAAATTCAAGTATAATATCTTGAGTACTTTTTTCAGGAAACCATTTTAATGATACTTAAATTTCCATGATAAGATGCTGCTAATATTATTTCATGATTTCACTATTTCTGTACCATTATTTTATATTTAACTCTTTTGCTATTATAAACATCCATACTTTTGGTACTTTATGGGTAGTTTTTATCCACATTTATGATTATTTCATTAAGATAGATTCCCATGAGTCTTTTTCAAAACTTAAAATGGAACTCTTGAGTTAAAGAGTATAAACATACCTGAAACTAGTAATAAGCATTGCCAGATTGTCTTACAGAAAGTCTCACCCATTCACATCTTATCATTGTTGTACAGCTTATAAATTACATTGCCCTTGCCAGAAGTTATCTATCTATCTATCTATCTATCTATCTATCTATCTATCTATCTATCTATAAAGGACACTGATACCTGAGAAATATTTCCTTTTTATGTATTTAAATATCTGATTTGAAGTAAGGTTAATTGTTTTTCTATGAGTAATTATAAGACATTTTTAATTTCTGCTTGTGTGTATGTAATTTGCCTTTGCTTGTTTGCTGCTCATTATTTCTACTGGAGTTTTATTTTGTAAATATATTATTTTATGAATTCTTTATCTTTTAATATCATTACTTATATATCATACATACTGCAAAATATTCACTAATCTGTTGTTTAGTGTTTCTACTGTTTTGCATATTCTATTGTACTGTCTTCATCTGTTTTTAATTTAAATTTGCTTATATAGTCAACCTTGTCTTCTTTCTATAGCTAATAAAATTTTCCACATTTTATGATTAATATTTTTTTGTTTCATAATCAACCACTTGAAATTTATTCTGTTGCATGGTGTGACATGAAAACAATCCGATTTTTTAACATAAACTTCATTTCAAAATTATTTATTGAAAAATCTTGGATATACCACTTATTTTAGTATATATGTAAACATGAAATACAGACCAGAGTTTGTATTTCAGTTGTGGTCTTGCTAACTGCCTATCTATTCTTAAGCCAACAGCAGAACTAGTTTTAACCAGTATGGTGTTAAAACATAGTTCATATATTACAGAATTAGCTCTCCCATGTAACTCATTTTCCAATATCCTGGAGTTTAAAATTACCTGGAATTCTTCCAGATGAATTTCACAGAGTTTTATTTTTCTAGCTAATTTTTTTTCAGATGTCAATATGACTGAGATTGTTATTAAAATTACCTTAAATTTGGCAAAAATTATAGAAATATTAGTGCTATCTTAAATTATTCAAGTTATTTTTATATTCTGCAGTAAAGTATTGTGATTTTTATTTCCATAGCCCACTGATTTCCTCAGATGGCTATTTGCTGGCTGTTTTTTTGGGAGTACCTGATGCAATTTGGCTTTTAAAAAATACATTATACATTCCCAGTTATTGCTGAATATAATATCACTTATTTTACTTTATTTTTACATTTTATTTTGTTTTACTAGAAAGGGATTGCTGTGAGATTAATCTAAATAGGTCTGAATACATTTATAATGGATGATGTCTGAGGCAAAATGCGATTTTCAGGTTGCCTGAATTTTCTTCCTCCTGTGGACTTAAAGGTAGAGGAAGCTTTTGGTTTTCAGTAATATTCTCCCTTCTTTAGAGGAACCAATATGAGCAATCCTTTTAATTTATGCAAATCTAAAGGAAGCCCTGTATCTGGGATGGTGGGATGCTTCTGATTGAGAAATTAAGCATTCCATTTAATCATGAACTAGATATTCATTCCAGGCACAGAGACATCTCTGTGATATTATGAACTATATATTTTTTTCTTTCAGTGGAGGGGGCTATTCTGCTGGAAGTTGAGTTCTTAGAATCTAGAGTCTAGAGAGGGAGATTTTTAAAAAGAGACTACTGTTCAGGCTAGATCCAAGGAGAGGGGATACTCCCAGGGAGGAAATTAACCAGTGGACTCTAGGAGGAGTAAGACCTGATTATCTGGTTTTAGGGTTTCATTTTATGCATTGTAATTCCTTTATGTTATCCTCAGCATTTGATAAAGTTTGTTAAACAATCAGCCTAGTTTTAGCTCTAATTTGGGAAATTAAGAGAATAATTTGAAGCATAATGGAGCAGGAAGAATTGTGGCAGCTTGGGGAACTATGAAAAGGTCAGAATTGTTAAGTGGAGACTCATAAGAAAGACAGTTTTACAGGATATATAAAGGCACTCATCCTGGGGAATGTTCAGGATTATATGAATGCTGGAGTGAGCTTTTTTCAAAATAGATGATGGTTTCTCACACTATATTATCTATATATTAACGAAAATGCTTATCCACACAGACCGACTACCACCTCCCATACATATGCACCCTCAATTCAAAAAGAAATATTACATTTATCATAGATCCAGTTTTTTTTAAAGCTGTCTTTGTAAATCTAGTAATTCTCAGTTGACTCTTTAGAAATTCTAGATATATAACTGTGATGTTAGACAATTATAATTTAACACTTTGCTTGTTAAAAGTTTCATTTCTCATATCTGTTTCATTTATTCATGTGTTAGCCAGAACATTTAGAGTCATATAAAATAACAACAGCAGTTACAGACATCTTCACTTTCTTCCTGGTTTTCATGAGTATATCTTTAGTGAATTACCATGTTTCGTGTTAGCTTTTGGCTTGAGGTACATATTTTATATAATTTTATGAAAATACCCCTACATTCCCGCTTTCTTAAATTAGTTAATTTTATTAAAGGATTCCACTGCAGATTATAAAATGAACTTCAGGAACTCCTTAGGTGATATTTTCTAATTTTCTTATTGACACATATTAATAGATTTTTAATTAACAAACTATCACTGAATTTCCAAGGTAAATCCTACTTAATTTTAGTGAATTGTAATTGTCATATATATTTTTTGTTTCTGGTTTCAAGTAATAGAGACTCAGTTGCAAGATGCTATCAAGAAAAAGCAGGTGGGGAGTGAATGCCACATAGTGAATTCTAAGGGTAGACACGCTTGTACCTCATAACTGAATTCAGGAGCTTAGATTCATGCAGGCATTATCACAATTTCCATTACTGGGTTATAATGCTCTGTGTGTATTGACTTAATTATTTTGCAGTGTTCTTTCATAAGAGGAGAAAGATGGCTTCTAACAACTTGAAGTCTACAAAGCTTTTTAAATCTTGCAATTCACAAAGAAACAGTGTATCTCTTTTTTATTGTATTAAATATGAGAAAATATTATGCTTAACACTACTTGGGTGAAATATTTCACCTTCATTGAATCAACATATCCAAGAAAAATGCAGTAGTCTGATAGAACATATTTGGTCATTTGTCCATTCTTATGACAAAACAGTAGGGGATGCTGACTGGATAGCTTCAAAGATAACATAACAACAAAGATTTTTTTAATAAAACAAAGCAAGATACTGTAACCAGAAGTGACGGTAATGGATACAGTGCAGGTATAATTCAGTTCTTCTTGTGGCAAGATTCACATATATATATATTATATATATATATACACACACACACATATATATAAAATATATAAGTATATATTATAATTTATATAAATAGTAATGCTGATTGTTTTTTGGTTCTATGTAAACTGTATAAAGATTAACATAACTAAAAAAATTTCTGTATCTTTTTTCACATTTTATTCATTTTCTGTGACACATTATAGCAATAATAATAATAATTATGCTCTCAAGAGTGAAAGAACTCACCTGAAGAATCCTCTTCCTTCATGGTCTTCTGTAGAAGTATTTCCTTCCAAGATTATTAGCTTCTTATTTTTAGAGTCTATTCTAGTTATTTCTATTTTCCAGAAAGGCATTCATTGCATTTATAAGTTCAATCACACACAAGGATTATAATGAAAGTTTAAAAAGATAGTTTGGGGGAGGAGCCAAGATGGCCGAATAGGAACAGCTCCGGTCTACAGCTCCCAGCGTGAGCGACACAGAAGACGGGTGATTTCTGCATTTCCATCTGAGGTACCGGGTTCATCTCACTAGGGAGTGCCAGACAGTGGCCGCAGGTCAGTGGGTGAGCGCACCGTGCATGAGCCGAAGCAGGGTGAGGCATTGCCTCACTTGGGAATCGCAAGGGATCAGGGAGTTCCCTTTCCGAGTCAAAGAAAGGGGTGACAGACAGCACCTGGAAAATCGGGTCACTCCCACCCGAATACTGCGCTTTTCCAACAGGCTTAAAAAACGGCGCACCACAAGATTATATCCCACACCTGGCTAGGACGGTCCTACACCCACCGAGTCTCGCTAATTGCTAGCACAGCAGTCTGAGATCAAACTGCAAGGCGGCAGCCAGGCTGGGTGAGGGGCGCCCGCCATTGCCCAGGCTTGATTAGGTAAACAAAGCAGCTGGGAAGCTCGAACTGGGTGGAGCCCACCACAGCTCAAGGAGGCCTGCCTGCCTGTGTAGGCTCCACCTCTGGGGGCAGGGCACAGACAAACAAAAAGACAGCAGTAACTTCTGCAGACTTAAATGTCCCTGTCTGACAGCTTTGAAGAGAGCAGTGGTTCTCCCAGCACGCAGCTGGAGATCTGAGAACGGGCAGACTGCCTCCTCAAGTGGGTCCCTGACCCCAGACCCCCAAGCAGCCTAATTGGGAGGCACCCCCAGCAGGGGCACACTGACACCTCACACGGCAGGGTATTCCAACAGACCTGCAGCGGAGGGTCCTGTCCGTTAGAAGGAAAACTAACAAACAGAAAGGACATCCACACCAAAAACCCATCTGTACATCACCATCATCAAAGACCAAAAGTAGATAAAACCACAACGATGGGGAAAAAACAGAACAGAAAAACTGGAAACTCTAAAAAGCAGAGGGCCTCTCCTCCTCCAAAGGAACGCAGTTCCTCACCAGCAACGGAACAAAGCTGGGCGGAGAATGACTTTGACGAGCTGAGAGAAGAAGGCTTCAGACGATCAAATTACTCTGAGCTACGGGAGGACATTCAAAGCAAAGGCAAAGAAGTTGAAAACTTTGAAAAAAATTTAGAAGAATGTATAACTAGAATAACCAATACAGAGAAGTGCTTAAAGGAGCTGATGGAGCTGAAAACCAAGGCTCGAGAACTACGTGAAGAATGCAGAAGCCTCAGGAGCCGATGCGATCAACTGGAAGAAAGGGTATCAGCAATGGAAGACGAAATGAATGAAATGAAGTGAGAAGGGAAGTTTAGAGAAAAAAGAATAAAAAGAAATGAGCAAAGCCTCCAAGAAATATGGGACTATGTGAAAAGACCAAATCTACGTCTGATTGGTGTACCTGAAAGTGATGGGGAGAATGGAACCAAGTTGGAAAACACGCTGCAGGATATTATCCAGGAGAATTTCCCCAATCTAGCAAGGCAGGCCAACGTTCAGATTCAGGAAATACAGAGAACGCCACAAAGATACTCCTCCAGAAGAGCAACTCCAAAACACATATTTGTCAGATTCACCAAAGTTGAAATGAAGGAAAAAATGTTAAGGGCAGCCAGAGAGAAAGGGTGGGTTACCCTCAAAGGGAAGCCCATCAGACTAACAGCGGATCTCTCGGCAGAAAACCTACAAGCCAGAAGAGAGTGGGGGCCAATATTCAACATTCTTAAAGAAAAGAATTTTCAACCCAGAATTTCATATCCAGCCAAACTAAGCTTCATAAGTGAAGGAGAAATAAAATACAGACAAGCAAATGCTGAGAGATTTTGTCACCACCAGGCCTGCCCTAAAAGAGCTCCTGAAGGAAGCGCTAAATATGGAAAGGAACAACCGGTACCAGCCACTGCAAAATCATGCCAAAATGTAAAGACCATCGAGATTAGGAAGAAACTGCATCAACTAACGAGCAAAATAACCAGCTAACATCATAATGACAGGATCAAATTCACACATAACAATATTAACTTTAAATGTAAATGGACTAAATGCTCCAATTAAAAGACACAGACTGGCAAATTGGATAAAGAGTCAAGACCCATCAGTGTGCTGTATTCAGGAAACCCATCTCACATGCAGAGACACACATAGGCTCAAAATAAAAGGATGGAAGAAGATCTACCAAGCAAATGGAAAACAAAAAAAGGCAGGGGTTGCAATCCTAGTCTTGGATAAAACAGACTTTAAACGAACAAAGATCAAAAGAGACAAAGAAGGCCATTACATAATGGTAAAGGGATCAATTCAACAAGAAGAGCTAACTATCCTAAATATATATGCACCCAATACAGGAGCACCAACATTCATAAAGCAAGTCCTGAGTGACCTACAAAGAGACTTAGACTCCCACACATTAATAATGGGAGACTTTAACACCCCACTGTCAACATTAGACAGATCAACGAGACAGAAAGTCAACAAGGATACCCAGGAATTGAACTCAGCTCTGCACCAAGCGGACCTAATAGACATCTACAGAACTCTCCACCCCAAATCAACAGAATATACATTTTTTTCAGCACCACACCACACCTATTCCAAAATTGACCACATACTTGGAAGTAAAGCTCTCCTCAGCAAATGTAAAAGAACAGAAATTATAACAAACTATCTCTCAGACAACAGTGCAATCAAACTAGAACTCAGGATTAAGAATCTCACTCAAAACTGCTCAACTACATGGAAACTGAACAACCTGCTCCTGAATGACTACTGGGTACATAACGAAATGAAGGCAGAAATAAAGATGTTCTTTGAAACCAACGAGAACAAAAACACAAAATACCAGAATCTCTGGGACGCATTCAAAGCAGTGTGTAGAGGGAAAATTATAGCACTAAATGCCCACAAGAGAAAGCAGGAAAGATCCAAAATTGACACCCTAACATCACAATTAAAAGAACTAGAAAAGCAAGAGCAAACACATTCAAAAGCTAGCAGAAGGCAAGCAATAACTAAAATCAGAGCAGAACTGAAGGAAATAGAGACACAAAAAACCCTTCAAAAAATTAATGAATCCAGGTGCTGGTTTTTTGAAAGGATCAACAAAATTGATAGATCACTAGCAAGACTAATAAAGAAAAAAAGAGAGAAGAATCAAATAGACACAATAAAAAATGATAAAGGGGATATCACCACTGATCCCACAGAAATACAAACTACCATCGGAGAATACTACAAACACCTCTACGCAAATAAACTAGAAAATCTAGAAGAAATGGATAAATTCCTCGACACATACATTCTCCCAAGACTAAACCAGGAAGAAGTTGAATCTCTGAATAGACCAATAACAGGAGCTGAAATTGTGGCAATAATCAATAGCTTACCAACCAAAAAGAGTCCAGGACCAGATGGATTCACAGCCGAATTCTACCAGAGGTACAAGGAGGAACTGGTACCATTCCTTCTGAAACTATTCCAATCAATAGAAAAAGAGGGAATCCTCCCTAACTCATTTTATGAGGCCAGCATCATTCTGATACCAAAGCCAGGCAGAGAAACAACAAAAAAAGAGAATTTTAGACCAATATCCTTGATGAACATTGATGCAAAAATCCTCAATAAAATACTGGCAAAACGAATCCAGCAGCACATCAAAAATCTTATCCACCATGATCAAGTGGGCTTCACCCCTGGGATGCAAGGCTGGTTCAATATACACAAATCAATAAATGTAATCCAGCATATAAACAGAGCCAAAGACAAAAACCACATGATTATCTCAATAGATGCAGAAAAAGCCTTTGACAAAATTCAACAACCATTCATGGTAAAAACTCTCAATAAATTAGGTATTGATGGGACGTATTTCAAAATAATAAGAGCTATCTATGACAAACCCACAGCCAATATCATACTGAATGGGCAAAAACTGGAAGCATTCCCTTTGAAAACTGGCACAAGACAGGGATGCCCTCTCTCACCACTCCTATTCAACATAGTGTTGGAAGTTCTGGCCAGGGCAATTAGGCAGGAGAAGGAAATAAAGGGTATTCAATTCGGAAAAGAGGAAGTCAAATTGTCCCTGTTTGCAGATGACATGATTGTATATCTAGAAAACCCCATTGTCTCAGCCCAAAATCTCCTTAAGCTGATAAGCAACTTCAGCAAAGTCTCAGGATACAAAATCAATGTACAAAAATCACAAGCATTCTTATACACCAACAACTGACAAACACAGAGCCAAATCATGAGTGAATTCCCATTCACAATTGCTTCAAAGAGAATAAAATACCTAGGAATCCAACTTACAAGGGATGTGAAGGACCTCTTCAAGGAGAACTACAAACCACTGCTCAAGGAAATAAAAGAGGATACAAAGAAATGGAAGAACATTCCATGCTCATGGGTAGGAAGAATCAATATCGTGAAAATGGCCATACTGCCCAAGGTAATTTATAGATTCAATGCCATCCCCATCAAGCTACCAATGCCTTTCTTCACAGAATTGGAAAAAGCTACTTTAAAGTTCATATGGAACCAAAAAAGAGCCTGCATCGCCAAGTCAATCCTAAGCCAAAAGAACAAAGCTGGAGGCATCACACTACCTGACTTCAAACTATACTACAAGGCTACAGTAACCAAAACAGCATGGTACTGGTACCAAAACAGAGATATAGATCAATGGAACAGAACAGAGCCCTCAGAAATAACGCCGCATATCTACAACTATCTGATCTTTGACAAACCTGACAAAAACAAGCAATGGGGAAAGGATTCCCTATTTAATAAATGGTGCTGGGAAAACTGGCTAGCCATATGTAGAAAGCTGAAACTGGATCCCTTCCTTACACCTTATACAAAAATCAATTCAAGATGGATTAAAGACTTAAACGTTAGACCTAAAACCATAAAAACCCTAGAAGAAAACCTAGGCATTACCATTCAGGACATAGGCATGGGCAAGGACTTCATGTCCAAAACACCAAAAGCAATGGCAACAAAAGCCAAAATTGACAAATGGGATCTAATTAAACTAAAGAGCTTCTGCACAGCAAAAGAAACTACCATCAGAGTGAACAGGCAACCTACAGAATGGGAGAAAATTTTCGCAACCTACTCATCTGACAAAGGGCTAATATCCAGAATCTACAATGAACTCAAACAAATTTACAAGAAAAAAACAAACAACCCCATCAAAAAGCGGACGAAGGACATGAACAGACACTTCTCAAAAGAAGACATTTATGCAGCCAAAAAACACATGAAAAAATGCTCATCATCACTGGCCATCAGAGAAATGCAAATCAAAACCACAATGAGATACCATCTCACACCAGTTAGAATGGCAATCATTAAAAAGTCAGGAAACAACAGGTGCTGGAGAGGATGTGGAGAAATAGGAACACTTTTACACTGTTGGTGGGACTGTAAACTAGTTCAACCATTGTGGAAGTCAGTGTGGCGATTCCTCAGGGATCTAGAACTAGAAATACCATTTGACCCAGCCATCCCATTACTGGGTATATACCCAAAGGACTATAAATCATGCTGCTATAAAGACACATGCACACATATGTTTATTGCGGCATTATTCACGATAGCAAAGACTGGGAACCAACCCAAATGTCCAACAATGATAGACTGGATTAAGAAAATGTGGCACATATACACCATGGAATACTATGCAGCCATAAAAAATGATGAGTTCATGTCCTTTGTAGGGACATGGATGAAATTGGAAATCATCATTCTCAGTAAACTATCGCAAGAAGAAAAAACCAAACACCGCATATTCTCACTCATAGGTGGGAATTGAACAATGAGATCACATGGACACAGGAAGGGGAATATCACACTCTGGGGACTGTTGTGGGGTGGAGGGAGCGGGGAGGGATAGCATTAGGAGATATACCTAATGCTAGATGACGAGTTAGTGGGTGCAGTGCACCAGCATGTCACATGTATACATTTGCAACTAACCTGCACAATGTGCACGTGTACCCTAGAACTTAAAAGTATAATAATAAAAATAAAAATAAAAAAAAAAGATGCAAACCTATTCAATAAAAAAAAATAAAAAAATAAAAAGATAGTTTGAATTTACTCAGAATCAACTCAGGTAGAAAAATGAAAACACAGAATTTAAATAATTACAATCTTTTTAAAATTTACTTTATCTGTGTTTCTTGTTCCTTCAAAGGATACTTCTAGAGATTATTAGTTAATTTTACTTTGAATCTTTTTTCTATTTATTTTCCATATTTTTATTGTTAATTTTTTTGAAGTTACACTTATTTTTTCTTAAATTTATTGGCTAGATTGTGTCATTTTTTCTTTAGGATTAATAAAGTCTTTAATTTTAAGACATGAATTCATTTCTGAATTCATCTTTGGCTTAACCTTTTAAACATATTTGATTTTACCCTTTGACCTACTTTTGTAAATCTTCTGGAGTCAGGTTTTACATTTTAAAATTTGTTACTAATTTCTTACTCTATGTAACATAGTGTCAATATCAGTGTCTGCTACTTGAACTGAGTCTGCAACATGCTAGCATTTTATACTCATTCCTTTTTTATGACCTAATATAACTCCATGTTTTTAAAATGTTCAGTAAATTCTGAAAAGAAAGTAAAATTATTTCATTTGTAATGAAATGGTTTTACTATATATCCGCTATTTTGTATTAAGTGTGTTTTCTCTATTTGGATCTCTATTTGGATCACCTTATGTGTCATAGACTGCGGGGTGTTTGCTAAAAATCTCTCAATGAACATATATTTCTTTAGATTTTTCTTTTTAAGGCAAAATCTTTTTTTAGATTTATGTTGCAACTACATTATTGGACACCAAAATATCACATTATTATAGGTTAGAGTTAATATAAATTTACTTTCATCGTTTAAGATTATATCTCACATTAATTCTACTTTTAGGATGTTATGGGTTGAATTGTGCTCCCCCGAAATGCATATGATGAAGTCCAACCCCTAGTACCTCAGAATGTTACTGTATCTGGGTATAGGGGTCATTGCTATGTAATTAGTTAATAAGATCATACTGGAATAGGGTGGTCCCAAATCCAATGTGACTAGTGTCTTTATAATGGAATATTTGGACACAGATACCCGTGCTTGGGGAGAATGTCATGGAAAGGGACACAGGAGACTAGAGCCATCCACAAGCCAGTGTCTGAAGCTACCAGAAGCTAGGAGCAATGCCTAGAAGACACTCTTTCCTAATGCCTTCCAGTGGAATATAACCCTGCTGATATTTTGATTTTGGACTTCTGGCCTCCAACATAATGAATTTCTATTGTTCTAAATTACCTAGTTTGTGGTACTTTGTTATAGCAGCCCTAGAAAGCTAATACATAGGATGATAGTTTTGGTGTTATTGAATTATTTCTCTTCTGTTGTATTTTTCACTTCTTCCATCAATTATATTGTAGATTCTCATTTGCAACCTTAGTATATGGTACGGACTTTAGTTTTTCTTTCAAAAGTATCATATAACTGGAGTTTTCCTCTGCTATAAACTAAAGAAATTTAAAGCATTTATGCTTATTCTTTTCCAATTAGATGTTTGTATATAAACCTTGTATCTTTATGCTGTGATGCTATTTTGCTTATTTTTGTCTCATTGTCCAGTTAATGTACAGTTTACATGTATCTTTTAAATGGATTTGATATGTATGTAAAATGTTTCCCTTAAGCTTACAAAATATGTACTTCAACAAAACTTCTCTAATTATGAAAAGTAAAAGCAAAGAATAAGTTTGATCTTCTGTATTTATCAGAAGAAATTGTTTACATTGTTTTTCCTAATATACATTCTTAATAGCATTTCCTTTCTTCCTAGCATGTGTTGACATATTCAAAAAATATAGCCTGACTATTATTATACTCATACTGTCTTACTTTAGTTATATTTTATTTTTAAGTTGCTTTTCTATTTGCCTTCAACTATAACTACCAATTACATCAATTATTCCTAACTTATTATAAAATATGTATTCTTACAAACATTTCCTAATCTTTCTGTAATAAGAATTTTTCCTATTAGACAAATTCTTATTACATTAGACTAGTAATCTCTAAATTAGACTTCTCTCATTAGACTAGTAATCTCTAAATAATATTTTAAGGAAATATGTTTTTTGAGCTCTTGCATAGTTCAGAATGTAATTATGTTAGAATTGTACAAAAACAATACTTTTACTAAGTCTTGGCTGTGGTTATGATGGTTCCCAATGAATTTCTCTTTCAAAAGTAAATGACTTTATATCATTAGGTTGGTGGAAAAGTTATTGCGATTTTGCCATTAAAATAATAATAGAATAGAAAAGTAAGAATAGAATAACAGAATTTGCCAACCTAATCATAGAATCCTGGCTTAATGAGAAGGGAATAGACATGTTAGATGATTCACTTTTCTTGTAAATATTAATTGAGTTCTGACTATGTGCTAGGATGAAGGTACAGCAGTTAAAAAGAAAGTAAAAGAAGTGACCTTTTGATAATAAGTGATAGAGAAAAAAAATAACATGAAATAGGATAGCTGTGGAAGAGGTTGTACTTTTAAATAGGCAGGCCAGGAAAGAAAAAAAAAATCTATCAAAGATTTTTGCTACTTGTTTATAGCCTTTATTGCTGTTCTGATTTAACTTGTTGTATGCTTAGTTTCTCCATAATGTTTTTCCAGTAAACCCTCTATAATTGCAGTTAGTATAACTGCCTCTCACTTACTTGCCCACTTATTCTTTGGACGATGTAATTGCTTCCTCTGAATCTTATTTGGAATGCCTCAACTGGTTTGTTTCTTAATATCACAAATCATGGCTCTTTCATTAATTTATAGGAGAAATAAAGAGGAAATGCCTATAACAGTCAGATATTATATTATCTACTTGGTATGGACTATAATATATTACTTCTACAATATTTGGAATATAGTAGGCATTTTCCTTTGTGAGTTTATTTTCTTTCTTCTTTTGACTTAGAATATTTTTCTTTTTTCTCACACATATACAATATGGTACAGCGTATCTTGAAATAGCCTTCCATGATATTTTTTCATAATATATTACCTTTATACACTACCTTCATTGTTAGAATATTTATTTGCATATTTTAACTCTTCACATGAAAACTTAGGAATATGATTTCAGTATTTCCCATTGAATTGCAGTTTCAGCCTGACTCAGGAGCAAGCAAGAATGTCCCCAACCAGACAGGTATACAATTGTGGAAAAAAAAAAAAAAAAAAGTCTAACTCCCAACATTGCAGAGCCTGTGAGACTTCTAGGTTATTATTGGCTTTAATTATCACTCCTATAAGCTGCAATATTCTTTACTACTGGTGAAGCAGCACTCCACAGAGTGTGAAATCCTTCCCTGCTTTTGAAAATACCCAAGAAATGAACTGAATCATTTCCAATCTACTGTGACAACTGAACACCCACTGATAAGTATAAGCAAGGGGAAAATTTATCATCACCAATAGAAAATAGGCTTTTCTGAAAGTGGGATTTAAGACATCTAGCCAGCTGCTTACTACCAGCAGTGATTAGCAAAACCAAATCCACTTTCATTTTAAACTCACAGGCATTTTATTTTCCCTGATTGTTACTCAAGTCAATAAAAAAGCACAGTCTTTTTTTATGTTCCTACTCTATTTACTGCTATAAAATTTAAACACTAAAATATCAAGATAAATAGTTCTTGGGGTTATAACCATTAATTTCCAGTCCTACTTCCCACCACAGTGTCTATTTTTTTTTTCTTTTTTACCATCAGATGCTTCAAGTACAAACCAGAGCTGAGGATTTTGAATAGACTCCATTTAGTTTCTCTTCTGGAGGCCCAACCCACACAATCCTAATTTCTCTGCCTCTTAAGGTAAGGCTTATATAAACATGCAGCAAAGAAACATATGCTATTCAGAATGAAATCAGTTCACAGTGATTCACTTCTCAATATTACCTCAGGTTTTAGTGTGTGCCCGTACTAAGAACACAGTGAATTCCCTACTAGCTCCATCCTCTGATTTTCAGATCTAGCAGGGGGAAAAGCAATAAAAGAAAAACTGTAGAAGGAAGGGAAGCGACTATATGCAAGAGTTTTGATATATTTACTGGATCTCCTCATTGTCTAAATAATATGACAATATTTTATTATAAACTAAAAGGAAGAAAAATGTAAGAGTTTTTAAGTGTAGTAAATTCATTTTCAAAATGCATTATATATAAACCTCTTCTATTTCTTAAAACCATAATTCTATTTAGCCTAATAATTATCAGTGACATAAGACATTAGATTTTCTCATTTATATTAATTTTTATGGAAAGTTTAGAAATCTTTCCATTACATGTTGCTTTCATTTCTAAGTCCAAGAGGTATGTTTCACATATTACTATATTAAAAATTCTGCAATTGTCTGCAATATAGCAAGTACCCAGTGATATGGCAAAAATGTATGAACACAAAACTGCCATTTACTGATGTTCAATGTTACATTTTTTGTGTGTGCCTTCGATTTTTAAATATAGTAGTTCTTGAAATTACAGGTATGAAAACCACAAGGTAAATCAAATCAGAGAAAAACAATACCTGTGTAATCAGTTTCTTTGGGTTTGGCTGTCTTGCTTCTACTGATGTTGGAAATGGAAAAACCTGTAGCGGTTTTGTAAATGGTAGAGGAGTCTTGATCTTTGGAAACAGGAAATTGTAGAGCTTTATTCTTTCCAAAAAAGATAGATAGATGATAGATGATAGATAGATAGTCAGATACATAGATAGATAAATAGATAGGTAATAGATAGACAGATGATAGATAGGTAAAGGTAGATAGATAATAGATAGATGATAGATAGATAATAGATGATAGATAGATGATAGATAGATAATAGATGATAGATAGATAATAGACAGATGATAGATGATAGATAGATAGATATAGATAGATAGATAGATAGGTAATAGATAGATGATAGGTAAAAGACAGATAGATAATAGACAGATGATAGATAGATAGATAGATAGATAGATAGATAGATAGATAGATTTCCCTCTTCTGAAGTTCATTCATGGCCTTTACCATAGGGAATATCAGAAATCAGAAAACTTACAGCAAACCTTACTCATTTGAATTACATGGTTATTCATAAAGATCATAATTTTAATCATCATGATTTTGATGTTCCATACAATTCTCTATTTCCTGTTCCCATTTCTATAATTTTAGAAACTATTGTTCTAGCATAGCATTTAGTTTGGCACAGCACTGCATGTGAATACAGAGAGTACATGCATTTCTGGGGGTAAATAGAAGCATGAGGAAAAGGGAAATAAAACCATAGTTAAATGACATCAAAAGGAACAATTTTGCTCAAGATAAGGACACTAAGTGAGCATATAGAGTATTTTCATAATTTAAACTGAACTTCTTCTATTTCCTAAAATGATAATTTGACCATATATTAGGTCAAGATTTGCAATTCAATATCACAAACACTTCAGAATCAGTAATCCTTTTACCAGCATTCTGAGTTGTGTTCAAACAATGGTAGATACTGTTGCATATCATGTAAAACAAAACATGCATATATTCTCTGTGTTATGGCATTTTTAGTTAACCTGGAGACTTGACATTTGTGCTGTTATTTTCAGAACCAGAGCCAATTTCTTTCAAACCATATTTTTTAAGCTGGAAAGTATTAGCCAGTAGTAGTCAAAATGACAAGGTACTAAGAATATGAAGAGAATGAACATCTGGCAAAGAAGTTTAAAGGAATATGACTGCAGTAAAAACTGGTAAAAACTGCCCAGTGATTTAGATGGTGAACTATCTTTAAGTTTTAAATACTTTGAGAGAGAGTGTGTGAATTGCTATTCCAATTCTGTGGTATTTTTTGAAAGAAAAAGGAAGATAACTAGATTGCATTTGCTCTTAAAATACTTTCAAATTTGGTCTGGGTGAAATAGAAATGGCATGAAAATGTCATCTGAGCCTTAGAAGAATTAGGGTATGCTACTTTGAGATTTAGTTGATGGCAGGTATCAGTAGCCTAAGAAGTTCATTCCACTCTCTGATTTCATCTTCAAGGATAACTTTTTTAGACATGACTTATAGGAAGAAGAATTAAGAACCCTTCTTCTCCCAATAACCATGCTCTTAAATACCTATTTAAATAGAAATGCGTAAAGTGGGATCTTTAGCAGAAGAAATTTTTAGGGAATCAGTTCAAAAGTACAACTCAAATCCAAATCCAAAATGCATGATTTTCTATAGTTCATTTATTCAGTAGACCTTTGCTGTCATTGTTTGCTTCAGTAAAACAACTGGCACATTCAAATAAAGATACTGTTTTGATATTGTAACCATATTTGCAGGTATAACAAGAAAAACTCTCTACTTATGATTACTGATTTACAGCAAAGAAGATAATTAGAAAACACTAATAACACTGCATGGGATGTTTGACAAAAAATTGTTATTACTTATGCGTCTCATAATTTTTGGGTCCCTCAAGAGCAAATAGAAACAAGATTAAGAAAATAATGAGTATTGAAGGAGAGTAGTCCATGGATATAAATACTATGCTCATATCCTGTCACCTAGGTTTGTGTGGACATGGAAAGTAGATAGAACAAAATGCATTCATGTTTCAAAATAGCATCTGCAGAGCACAAATTTAAAGATTCCAAGCTGTTAGAAGTATTATGTGGAGCTGACATTGAAAAATTGCAGTTTGACATTTGGGATAAGAAAAAAAAAGTGTTGAAACTAAAACAAGTGATGATGAGCTTATTTTCATATGTTTGTTGGCCTCATAAATGTCTTCTTTTGAGAAGAGTCTGTTCATATCCTTCACCCACTTTTTGATGGGTTTTTTTTTATTGTAAACTTGTTTAAGTTCCCTCTAGATTCTGGATATTAGCCCCTTGTCAGATGGATAGATTGCAAAATTTTTCTCCCATCCTATAGGTTGCCTGTTCACTCTGACAATAGTTTCTTTTGCTGTGCAGAAGCGCTTTAGTTTAATTAGACCCCATTTGTCAATTTTGGCTTCTGTTGCCATTGCTTTTGGTGTTTTAGTCGTGAAGTTTTTGCCCATGCCTATGTCCTGAATGGTATTGCCTAGGTTTTCTTCTAGGGTTTGTATGGTTTTAGGTCTTACATTTAAATCTTTAATCCACCTTGAGTTAATTTTTGTATAACATGTAAGGAAGGGGTTCAGTTTCAGTTCTCTGCATATGGCTAGCCAGTTTTCCCAACACCATTTATTAAATAGGGAATGCTTTCTCCATTGCTTGTTTTTGTCAGGTTTGTCAAAGATCAGATTATCACAGATGTGTGGTGTTAAAGCTCATCATCACTGGTCATTAGAGAAATGCAAATCCAAACCACAACGAGATACCATCTTACGCCAGTTAGAATAGCAATCATTAAAAGTCAGGAAACAACAGATGCTGGAGAGGATGTGGAGAAATAGGAATGCTTTTATACTGTTGATGGGAGTTTAAATTAATTCAACCATTGTGGAAGACAGTGGGGTGATTCCTTAAGGAGCTAGAACCAGAAATACCATTTGACTCAGCAATTTCATTACTGGGTATATACCCAAAGGATTATAAATCATTCTACTATAAAGACACATGCAGACATATGTTTATTGCAGCACTATTCACAATAGCAAAGACTTGGAACCAACCCTAATGCCTATCAATGATAGACTGGATAAAGAAAATGTGGCACATATATACCATGGAATACTATGCAGCCACGAAAAAGGATGAGTTCATGTCCTTTGCAGGGACATGGATGAAGCTGGAAACCATCATTCTCAGCAAAGTAACATAGGAACAGAAAACCAAACACCACATGGTCTCACTCATAAGTGGGAGTTGAACAATGAGAACACATGGACACAGGGAACACATCACACACTGGGGCCTGTCGGAGGGTGGGTGCTAGGGGAGGGATAGCATTAGGAGAAATACCTAATGTAGATGATAGGTTGATGGGTGCAGCAAACCACCATGACATGTGTATACCTATGTATACCTGCACATGTATCCCAGAACTTAAAGTATAATTTTTTTAAAAAGTAATTAAATTAAATTAAAAGTATAATTTTAAAAAGTATAATTAAAAAAAGAAACTAGAACAGTTTAGAATTCTAGTCACTCTATTTCTAGTGACTAGACACCTTTCTCTGTCTGTGAAGTCCTCATCATCAAAGGTCTGCATGAATGACTTATTTCATGAACCCCGTGCAGATCCCCATTGTCTAGAACTGTACTTCCTTAAGTTCCCATGGTCCTCTATTTGTACATCTTCCATAAAACTCTTATAATCGACATAGTGCTGAAGCTATTCACACCTGCCTATGAGTTCCCGGAGAGCAGAGATCATATCTTGACTTTATTTTTATCACAAATATCCCCATAATAGCATTTGCACACATATCAAATTCTCAATAATTTTTCAATGAATTAATATCTTTCCTATTGTTCTTTTTATATGAAAGTGAGTATATTTGGAAAACAAAATTTATTCCATACCTCAATAAATAAATGTCTTCTAACAATATTTAAAAATGAAAATAAACCATAAGACTTAATCATCTAAGGAGATAACTGTTTCAGCTCTGAAAATTAAGCATTAAAAATTAAAATAAGAAATATTTAATTTTTGAAGAAATTTTGAAAGTATATTTTAATATATTTTCTGCTCATCTTTTCTTCTATTATTATTTTAAAGGTGCAGATATTAATTTTACCTTTTGCATAGTAACATAACATACACATTTCCCATGTCATTAGATAGCCTTCATAACTATTTAGATATCCTTCATAGCTATTCTAATAGTGACAATATAGTCTACCAAAGTACCAAAAGTAATTTAATAGTTTTGTTTCTTTTTGATCTTGAGTTTTATTTTTCCAATAGTAGATATTTCTGAAAAGCATTTCAGTAAATATTGTATTAAAAGTGAGAAATATTATTTTATTTCTTAAATTATTAGAAATAATACTCATTATTTGTATAAGCAACAGTTGGTGGGGTAACATTGAGGGCCTAAAAAGACAGAAATCATGGCCAATACAGCAGAGTAGTTATATATATTTTTATCTGGATGTTTGCATTGCTGGAATTTTACCTGTATTAAAAGGGGTATGGAATAATGTCCAGAAAAGAAACACGCCTTCAGCTAACATGGTAGCTGTGTATGCAATAAAGCTAAAAAATCTACCTGCATACCTCTTTCACACTCCAGTATTTAAAGTAAGGTAGCAAGCTAGAAAACAATTCGTGAATGACAAGACCATTCCCAGTTAAAATTCATGTTAAGTTCTCCCTTATAAGTGGGAGCTAAATGATGAGAACACATGGACACATTGAGGAGAACTATACACACTGAGGCTTATCAGCGGGTGAAGGTTGGGAGGAGGGAGAGAGGACCAGGCAAAATAACTAATGGGTAGTAGGCTTAAAACCTGGGTGATGAAATAATCTGTACAACAAACCCCCATGATAAAAGTTTATCTATGTAACAAACCTGCACATGTACCCCTGAACTTAAAATATGTTAAAAAAAAGAGTACTAAGAAAAAAAATCATGTTAAAAAATTACTCATTCATTTAACACATTTTTGTAGGAAACAATATTATATTTCATTGTGGAATAGAGTCAAATTTCCAGAGTTCAAATCACATTTCTTCCACTGATTAGCTGGGATTTCTTCCCAAATTAATAGGATTTGGGGCAAGTTATTTAAATGCTCTGAACCTATTATTTCTATTCCAAAATGTGGAATAATAAATAAAAAATAAACAATCATAGGATTGTTGTATATGTAAAATATGCTAATAATTTGTACAACTCTTGTTTTGTGTACAATAATGTACATAGCTATATACATACATGTAAGTATTTTATATGTAATATAAAATTTAGAAAGACAGTGTTCAAAAGTGTGGACTGTGGAGTCAGACTAGCTAGCTTTGAATTTAGTACTGTGACTTAGCTGAATGGCTTTGGACATGTTATTTAACTCTTCTGTGACTTTATCTGTAAATGAGATAATAATACTGATGATTCATGTGTTGTTATACAGATTAAATAAGTTAATCTTTTTAGTGTCTAGAATGTCCATTACATAAAATCTTTATCTCTATTTGTTAAATTAAATTAATGTTTGCTATTACTACTTAACTAACAGCAGAATGCTGTCATAAGGAAGATAAGAGGAAATATACTGAAATGATGAATCTCTGTATCAGCAACCCCCCTTTTTTCAGGAACTCCAGAATCTTCATAATTAGAAAAATGGTAACTGTATATGTAATACATAAGCATTGGCTTTTCTTTTCTTTAAATCTGTGACTTGAAATGTTGTCATAGCTAAAGATTACATACTTCAATCATGTAAGAAAATTACCCAACATTTTAGAACAGAAACTACAAGGTAAGTTCTGAAGGATCAAATGTAATTACTAAGTTGAATTTGGACAGCAATTTTGGGGAAAGCAAGATATCACTATCACTATGAGAGGTAGAATAGGAAAATTCCTAATTCAGTGGTAGAAATGGAACTTAAACAAAGTTACTAAATAGGAAAGCCAGGAAATAAAAGGAACACATCACAAGTAAGGTACAAAGGAGGAAAACGTACAAAGTGAACCTTAAAAATTGAATACAAATTAGTTTTTCTTAGAAAACTTAAAAAACATAAAACATGCTGTTACAAAAACAAGTTGAGGGTGTATCCTTTTGTTTTTTAACCACTACAGACATTTCTCAGGCTTAATCAATTCATAAACATGAAAAAGTTTATACTTTACTGCATGCAAACAGTTTTCTGTTAATTTAGCCCAGAATTTTTCTACCTTGGCATTATTGACATTTTGGGCTGAATAATTTTTTGTCTTGGAGAGCTATCCTGTGCATTACAGCAGGGGGTCCCCAACCCCTGGTAAAGGTTAGGAGGCAGACCACACAGAAGGAAGCGAGCGGCATGGTGAGCCAATGAAGCTTTATCTGTATTTCTGCGAGTTTGCTTACCATGACTTGCATTACTGCCAGAGCTCTGCTTCCTGTCACATAAGCAGTGGCATTAGATTCTCATAGGAGTGGGAACCCTATTGTGAAGCGTGCATGCAAGGGATCTAGGTTGGACGCTTCTTATGAGAACCTAATGCCTGATGATAAGTCACTGTCTACCATCACCCCCAGAAAGACTGCCTAGTTGCAGGAAAACAAGCTCAGGGTTCCCACTGATTCTACATTATGGTGAGTTGTATAATTATTTCCTTATAATTATATAATAGTAATAGAAAGAAAGTGCACAATAAATGTAATGCATGTGAATGATCCTGAGACCATCCTCCCATCCCTAGTCCATGGAAAAGTTGTTTTTCATGAAATCGGCCTCTGGTGCCAAAAAGGTTGGGTACCACTGCATTATAGGATGTTTAACAGCATCCCTGGTCTCTATCCTCAAAGTGCCCGTAGAGCCTCCCCATTCATAACAAACAAAAATGTATGTTGACATTGCCAAATGTCCTCAGGAGAGTAGACAGATTACCCCTGATGGAGAACCACTGCTTTAGACAAAATAAAGTGAAATAATCTCAGCTTTGAATGACAGCCAAGCAATTATATAGTTCAGCTCTCCAAGTAACATTAATTTTCTCCTTTATACCTTCAACTGGTGTTCATATAGTCCCCTCTTTCAATTCTATCTGGCTACAAGCTCACTTTCTCACAATCAAATTGTATGCTACACATTATGTAGTAGTTCTTTTTTGCATTTACTCCTCTGGAGATGAATTTATTGTAGCTACTTCTGCTTTCTTTCTGCTAAATCTTTTTATTACCAGGGGAGGAGGGATATAAATTATCTTTTTCCCTAACCAATCATGGTATATCGCAGCTTTGAGCCACTCTAACATTCTATCAGTAGAAGATGCTTGTAAACAAATACTCCAGATTCAGTGTCAACAGGGAAAAATACACCCAAAAGTATGATTGACCTTTCATATCCCTTGTTTCAGACTGTTTATGGAACCTGAAACCTCATGACCTTCTTTAGAAGCCTTATCACACTGTTCAGTCACATCAAATCAGATGACAAGAAAATATCCACATCATTTCCATTTGCTCTACTACTATATTCTATGTGTGCTATTTTTTCAGAGTCCTTGAAACAAAAGGGGTATATAAATCCCAGATACCACTCATGATTTCATGATAACTCAAAATCCTCATTTATACTATTCCACAGAAAAGATAGTCCACACATTTAATAGCAGGAATGTCAGAGAGGCATGGATGAATCAAAACAGATTTCTGCCCAATATGATTGAAAGCCTGCCACAAATGACCAGTAGAGACATTTTGTTCAAACCATCAAATACTAGCGAACTCTCACACATGATTTTTAAAACTAATTTCAGGATTCCACATTAGATTCTGTTATTTGAATCTACTATTCTATTCTGTTCAGGTTATTTTGGATTCTGACCATTACCCAATATGAATGTTGTAAAATACACCTCTTTAATGGCCCCAGCTTATTTCAATTTGTTCCGAATGAGGAACACAAAAGAAACACAAATGAAGTGAAGGAGTTTATGTTAGTTAATATTAGATCATCACCTCCAATCAGAAAGAAACATATAATCCTTGTTCTTCTAACTCCAAACAAGAATAAAAACTGGTATGTGTTCTTATTCAGTTTTCCTAAAACCTACTCTCATGCTACTGTCAGCAATGTTGATTCTATTCCTATTTTTACTATTCTTAATATAAGAGTCTTTGCCAGTCAGAGTTGCTCATGCTTATCACATTTATTCCTTAACTAATTTTTTTATCCTAAGTCAGTTTATAGTGTCATAAAATTTGAACGAATTGTATGCCAGGCTTTTTCACAAAATTGATCAACATATTTTTATAGACAAATTACCACACCGTCTGCTTGAACAGCACAAATAATGAATTAACAATTAAATACATAAATTTATATGCTAAGTATTTTATTTTGGAATCCATAATCCTTTAAAACATTCATCTCCTTCCCAAGAAAAAGTGAAGGAATTTGATATGGCTGCCATAAGACAAACTGAAAAAAAATTAGTAACATAAATAGAAAACCAGTTTCTGGAGATAAAATTTAAAAGATGAATACAAACTTGCTAATTTGAAAGCTTCTATGGCCACAAAAAATATTTTAAAATTAAATTACTTTTCTCTGTATTCCCAGTGCCCAGCTTCATATCTATATCTGGAAATGATAAATAAATATTTTTATATAACATATGAGCAAAATAGTTTTCACCCAAGTAATATTCATAATATACCCATTTTCATTCTAAAATTTTGTACAGTTTTATATTTTAGGAAACAAACCCTTAGGAAAGTATTTAGAAAATATATTTCAGAAAAAATAAATTTTAATAGAATTCTTATTTATGAAGTATTGGTTTAATTAAAAATGTATTAATTGATGTCATTAGTATCTGCCAGTGATATCTAAAATTATTAATTCTAATACCTTTATTAAAACAATAGAATCTTATAATTAAATTAACAGTATTTTTTGATATAGAAGATCCAGAGGGTTGTTCTTCAAACACTGATTAAACAATCACAGCAATCTAACAGTGTATTTTGCAAGTTCAGAGAAGTGAAATAGAGCCCCCTTTATTAGCTTACTATGAGCAAGTTTCCATTCTTCCTTTCAAGTTTAAGCTTCCTCTATTAATGTATAACAACCTCTCTAGTTTTGTTCTTTGGAGAACCACAGAACAAATTCTTATCTATTTGCCAAATCTAGTTTAGGTTTACAAACCAAGGGGAGGATGCATCTTCAAGCTATATATACTATGTAATTTATGTATGTATTTATTATATACATATATAATATATAGTATATATATTTATATTTATCACACTCTCTGGAAATGCTGATACAGCACACCTGGCTTTAGAATTCTGGGATGCGTATCTGTAAAAGACACTTTGATTATACAGATCATGAACCTACACTAGAAACCACCAGTCCATCTATAAACTTTGTATCTTCATTGCGAAAATAGTACATCATTCAGGTGAAGTATGATTTGTATTGAAATTAGAAAACAGAGGCTGGGTGTGGTGGCTCACGCCTGTAATCCCAGCACTTTGGGGGGCCGAGGTGGGCGGATCACGAGGTCAGGAGATCAAGACCATCCTGGCTAACACGGTGAAACCCCGTCTCTACTAAAAAATACAAAAACAAACAAACAAACAAACAAACAAAAAATTAGCCGGGCTTGGTGACGGGTGCCTGTAGTCCCAGCTACTTGGGAGGCTGAGGCAGGAGAATGGCGTGAACCCGGGAGTCGGAGCTTGCAGTGAGCCGAGATCACGCCACTGCACTCCAGCCCGGGTGACAGAAAGAAACTCCGTCTCAAAAAAAAAAAAAAAAAAAAAAAAAGATATTAGAAAAGAGAAAAGAAAACTGAGTCCATTCTAAGTATATATAGACCACTTTAAAAAGAGTAGCTAAGACAGAGACTTCAGATATAAAGATACTTGAAGAAATATACATTCTTTTTTGTGGTAAGCCTGGTGATGAGATCTTGCTTCTGCAGAGTGAGAAAAGAATGAAGTGTAATTTTTGATAAAGCCAACTCAACTCAAGACATATTGTGAGATAAAACACTTTTCTCCAACAGATGGATTTTGATGGCCTTATTAGAAACTCTGCGGGAAAGACCTTTTGGTGACTAAATCTATAGCTGGTTTCTGATGAAAACTTAGTCAAAAAATAACTCATTATGAAGTTGATAGTGAAAATTCAATAGCCTCCTGGAATTCCGCCTTTTTGGAATCTTGCCTGAGCCACTTCACACTAGATTTGCCACAAATATATTATGTGAACAGTTCACATGTACACCACCTGAAATATGAAAGAGTATTTCCTATAACAAGAATGAAAACTTAATAAATGTGATTTCTTCTTTCTTCTCTGACACCAAATAACTTTAACAAAATTAGAAAAATTACCTCATTATGCTTATGTTATTTGCTTTTGTTTAAAATAATTTAAAAAGATACATTGATTTATTAAGCACATTTTTAAAAGTTCTTTTATATGAGTCATTCAGATAGGTATAAATTATATATAAGTCAAAAATAGGGATCCTAGAGTAGTAGAAATCAAAAATCGTATTTATCAATATTTATAATGCAGCATAAAATGTAATATGTGAAATAGAGAAATGCAAAAAAATACTGCATGATTTCTAAGGGAAAAGATAATTTTTGCTTAGAGACATCAGGGAAGTTTTTCTTCTTTTCTTGTGCTATCACTAGAAGAATGAAGAGGATTATTGCATGCAAAGTTGAGTGACAGTGGTGCTTTATGGAGAGGGAACTATATTAGTCAGGTTTATCAAGAACAATAGGATATATTCTTTTATTTGTGGTAAGGCTGGTGATGCAAATTTATTCTGTATTCCTAACCTACTCTTATTTCTGTCCACTGCAGCATCATATTCCCGTGTGTGTGTGTGTGTGTGTGTGTGTGTGTGTGTGTAAACAAACTTAGACACTTATTATAAGGAATTGGCTCACATAATTCTGAAAGCTGAACAGCACCAAAGTCTGCAGTTAGCAAGCTGGAGACCCATGAGAGCTAATGGTATAGGTTCAGAGTCCAGAGTCCTGAGATTCATGAGAACTGATGGTTAAACTTCCAGCCCAAGGACAAGAAGAGGCCAGTGTCCCAGCTCAACAGTCAAGTAGGCAAAGTGCCCTCTGACCCAGCCTTTTATTTTTTTACTTTCATTTTAGGTTCAGGGGACCATATGCAGGTTTGTTGTATCAGTAAATTGTGTGTCACAGGGGTTTGGTGTACAGATGATTTTGTTACCCCCGTAATAAGCACAGTGGCAGTTTTTTGATCCTCACCCTCCTCCCACCCTCCACCTTCAAGTAGGCCCTAGTGTTCGTTTTTCCCGTTTTTGCATTTATATATACTCAGAGTTTAGCTTTCACTTATAAACGAGAACATTCAGTATTTGGTTTTCTGTCCCTGCATTAGTTCATTTAGAATAATGGCCTCCATCTCCATCCATGTTGCTGTAAAGGACATAACCTCACTTGTTTATGGTTGTGTAGTATTCCATGGTATGTATCTATTATTTTTTTCTTTCCTTTTCTTTTTTCTTTCTTTCCTTGTCTCTTTCTTTCTTCCTTCCTTCCTCCCTTCCTTCCTTCCTTCCTTCCTTTCTTCTTTCTTTTTTTTTCAGACAGGGTCTGGCTCTGTCACCCAGGCTAGAGTGCAGTGGTACAATCTCAGCTCACTGAAACCTGTGCCTCTCGAATTCAAGCCATCCTCCCACCTTAGCCTCCCAAGTAGCTGTGACTACAGGTGTGCAACATCATGTCCAACTAATTTTTGGATTTTTTGTGGATATGAGGTTTTTCCATGTTGCCCAGGCTGGTCTCAAACTATGAGCTCAAGCGATCCACCTGCTTCAGCCTCCCAAAGTGCTGGGATTACGTGCGTGAGGCACCACGTCCATCCTTGCACTGCATTGCATTTATCCAGTCTCCTATTGATGTGAATTTAGGTTGATTCCATGTCTTTGCTATTGTGAATAGTACAATAATGAACATACGCATGCAGTGTGTTTATGGTAGAATGATTTATATTCCTTTGAGTATACACCCAATAATGGAGTTCCTTGGTCAAATAGTAGATCTGTTTCAAATTCTTTGAGAAATCACCAAACTGCTTTCGATAATGGTACACAGGCTTTTCAGTCTATTCAGGTCTTCAATTGATTGGTTGAGGTCCACCCAAGTTAGGAAAGATAATCTGCTTTCCTCAGCCCACTGATTCAACTGTTAATCTCATCCAGAAACACCCTCACAGACATACCCAGAATAATATTTGGTCACCCCTTGGCCCAGTCAAGTTGACACATAAATTAACCATCACAGGTACTTGCTGAACAAGAGAGATACACCAGGATAATGTTTTCTTAGGGATACATTGTTTGGATAAGACTTGAGAGAGACTACAAACATCTCAGAGACCTAGTATATTCAGGCATTCACTCATACATGGCAACATTATCATCTGGCGTTAAAAGAGAGTTCAAAATTTTCCAGCAGAAATAAATATAGGTTTAAAAGCTTTGAGATGATGATTGTTAATGTGAGTGGTGTTATGTTAATAAATAATTAAAAATGGCTTAAATATTTTTAAAATACCTCTGTGGTTTTTAGGTTTGCTTGCTTGTTTACCAGCTTATTTCATTTACACATATAATTTTATCCAGAAACCCCATGTATCAAATAAATAAAAGTATAGCTGCTCTGTTTCAAAGGGGGAGGAGAGCATGAAGCCCAGAGCTCCATATAAAGAGTCTCCCACTGGATTTCAGAGGCTCCACTGAGAAACTTTGGTTTATTCAGAGCACAATTAAAAATGATGTGCACAGTGACTGGGAATATTATGATGCCATAGAAAGAAATGGAATTTGTAAGAGGAGTAAGTTGGGCATAGAGGTTAATGAATTTGGTGCCCATACTGAGGTGACAAACATTCAGGTAAATATGTCCAGGAGGAGACACGTACACACACACTCACAAATGGTTAATTCTCTAAACAAGAAGTACATTGATAATCATTGAATTATGATGATTTTCTAGTAAAGCTTTTTTAAGTTTTAGGTGCTTTTCTGATGATCCACTGATCTAGAGTACAGCCAACTCTGGATTAGAGCTCAGGGAGAGGTTAAAGCAAGGGATATCTGTTGAAATAATTGCTGACATTGAAATAAGAGATAATATTGCTGGAGAAAATGCCGAAAGAAAAGGCAAATGGGTAAGGACCAAGTATCGACGAATATAGCAATTCAAAGTGCGAGAAGCAGCAAAGAAACCTACAGAGTAACAGGGAGAGAATAAAGGTTGAAGCAGGTGAATGTGGAATCAAAGGTGTCTTAACAACAACTTACAATGATTGTAAAAAACGAGGAACAGCATTTTGCTTACTGGCTGATTTTCGTGTTTGTAATTTTTTGATAAAATTGTTTTCAGAATTGATAATATTCTGTAAAATAAGATTTGTGTCTACAAACACAAAACGGCCTTTTAAAAATATATGTGTTAAGAAAACATGATACTTTTACTAGATTAATTCATGAATTAATTTTAATATTCCATTGTGTTAGAAATTAACTTAAGGGAACTAGACTATACACCAGTGAAAGCAAAGACAAGAAAACTTGGAAGCAAACCAAGAAAAAGATAATTGTCATCATGGGTTTTATCAGATTTATTATAAACTTTTTCCCCTATTACTCTGTAGGAGAGTCAAAAGCGTTATATGATATGTGAAAAGAAAGTTAAACTTTTAATGATATTATTACTTGGAAAATTATATCAAATATCTAACAAAATTATACTTAAACTATTTTTCAGTTGATGCCATAACCAAGTACTGTGGAGACATCAAAAGAATGAAGACAAAGAAAACATACAGAATTGGAAGGTTAGGTTAAGGCTGTTCACTGGGACTGAATAATCCCTAAAAGTCTCTAGTAATTCTATGATTAGATGATTCTAATTATTCCTAAATAAATGTTCCTATATTGGCAATTTGAATATTTTCTTTTTATACATACACATGTGCATGTGCATTTTCCTCTACACATACACACACACTCACAAATGGTTAATTCTCTAAACAAGATATACATTGGTAATCATTGAATTATGATTATTTTCTAGTAAAGCTTTTTAAGTTTTAGGTGCTTTTCTGATAATCCACTGACCTAGAGTATTGCCAACTTTGCAAATTATGAGGATATTGGGTAATTTATCTGCATTAACTAAATATTTTTAAACTGTTGCTATTAACTCTTTCTGTATCTGATTATAAAACACCATGTCACCAGATTTATTGGGGGTGGAGTTGAGATGCATGTTTCATATGCCATTCCTAATATTTAAGTTGGTAATTTTAAAAGTACACTTAAATATTTCTATTGTCAGGAGTAGAAATGTTTCTTTGCACATCAATTCCTCTGTTATATCTTTCTCCAACAGTTGAAAATCATGACCTAAGGCAAAATGTAAATTTTATGCCTCTCCTAATAGATGTCGTGTTTATAGAATTAGGCTGAGTGTTCCTATTACTGTGTTGTCCTCAGTGAATACTTAAACTGCTTTTGCTTACTACAGTCAACTCATAGTTCTGCTATCAGAACTATATGTTTTGCATTTAATTCTCTTTCCAAAACAAATTAATACATAACAGAAAATATGCAGCACTTTCAGAGAAGAATAAAATTATCAAAAGGACTATCATATCAAAAGAACTACCATATCAAAAGAATTATATTAAAAGAATCATATATGAAATAGAGATAAATATTCCATATTATAAATGTTCAATCAATAACTTATTTGAATGTGAAAACATGAATATGTAAGAGGCAGCTAATGTTATTGACCTAAATTAGTTCTAGAGTACACTGATCAGTTAGAGTATTTAAAACCTATTTCTGAATAAAAGTGCTTTTACTTGAAACCAATTTTCTTTTCTTCCATGGCAACAACACAAGCCCTGCCTCCCCAAGGCACAGACAGAGTCTCCTCCGTCTTACTTGAGCTCCACCAAACTCAGGAAGCGTGCAAATACTTTCATCCTGCCAGCTTCACTCTGGAACTTTGCTTTCTTGGCTACTATGGGTAATTATGTTTGTGATCTGTGGAATTTTATAGAATGACAGCCAATTTTGGAATTGTAGTTAATTGTCATAATACAAGTAAATCAAAGGATAAATATGATTACAGTCATGCATTGCTTAACTATAGGGATATCTTCTGAGAAATGCATCTTTAGAGGATTTTGTCATTGCGCGAGTATCATACAGTGTACTTATGCAAACCTAGATGGTAGAGCCTACTACATACCTAATCCGTATGGTATAGATTGTTACTCCTAGGATAAAAACCTATCTAGCATGTTACTGTACTGAATACTGTAGGCAACTGTAACACAATGGTAAGCATTTATGTATCTAAACATTTCTAAACATAGACAAGGTACAGTATTATAATCTTAGGGGACCACCGTCATATATGTGGTCCATCATTAACTGAAATGCCATCATGCAGTGCTTGACTGTATGCCTAAATGACACTAATGGAGGTTAAACATGGACAAGATAATTAAGGGATCAAGGAAAAGTGAAAAACCTCTTTTAATAAGGTCATCCCACCCCAGTGATGTGTGGCCTTCCACAGACATTGAGTTATTTCACATCCCATGCTTTGCATATACCTCATCTCTTAATTCAGTTTCTAATCTCTCCTAGTTAGCCTTCAAGTATATCATAGTTTAAATCACACTTTCAGAAAAAAAAAAATCTTTGATTCTGCCCAACTAACTTCCACCAAAGTAGCACTGACCCACAACCTCTTTCTGATCCTTTTTTATAATATTTACAAGATGTGTCATAATTACCCATGTATCTCTTATTCTATACACCATCTGTTAGGAATAGGGCAAATGTCTTTATATAGAAAAAAAGCTAACCAAGTTCTTGGAATATAGTAGGGGCTCAGTAAATGCTCAGTGAATGATTCAAATTGAACATAACTAGTTATGGTTATGTTCTATTTGGTGGTTTTCAGTATCTCATCTGGATATGATGTGGCTGTCTTAGTCAATGGCTGAGGTACCTCCACTCAAAAATGCAGACCAACTACATGAAATTCTGACATCAATGACTTCTTTAACACTATTGACTTCCTTCCTTGAAAACTTTACCATTTTTCTCAGAAACCAATCTTTTTTTCTTAGACCTCCAAAAGGGAGGCTCCTCTTCCTGACCTTTCATATTGAATCCTATTATTAGGAAAGAAAAAAAAAACTTAGTTTACAGTTGCTTCCTACTGTCTTTATCTACAATCCTCTCCTTAACATTTACACATGTTCATTTGCTTTCAACTACTCATTCTTTCTACCTTAATTCAAAGTTTACATCTCTAGTCTTCAACACCAATTGTCAGGAAGTAACTATGCTTGCAAAGAGGCAGTTTTTGAATTCTGGCCCCTTTCCTACTCTGTAAATTATAATAGTGTTTAATGTCTACCTCAGGGTTGTTGTGAGAATGAAATGAGCTCACACACATTAAGTGCTTAGTAAAAAGAGGTCAAGAAATAAATATGAATGGGTCTTAAAATCCATTGTAGTTGTGGATAGAATCCATAGTTATGAATAAACTTTAGTTCATTTATGATGGTGGGAAATGAGTTTGGATGGAATTTTAGACAATCCCTTAATATTTCTGAATGTTTCTTAAAAGGGCCATCAGAATAATGGTTCAGTCTATGTAATCCAGTTAAATAAAAAAGTCTACCAGTTGATTTGTCTATTTTAGGTTCACCTAAAACCCATTTTAAAAAGGAATCAATTTGTGACACGTTCTCAAGGAACACAATCTATTTGTTAGTATACTTTCAAAAACTGATAATAATTTAGGCAGATGGAATTTCAGTCTAATCATCTGGATTTAGTGGAGATAGTCTTTAGTGTTCTTTTAAAGTTTTGATGATTAATAGTTTGTGAAAAATGAAATAAGGTCCAACATCTAAAGCAGAGTTTCTTTATTTCACTTGCAATTCACTTTTCAATATTTTTTATCCTTCCAAATAAGAAGAGTAGAAAAAAAAAATGCCCCTTAGAAGACTTCCAAGTCTTTTAAAGTTGCATCTCCTCTTTTTATTAGCAATTTGAAGTTGTTTCATGAGGAATTGTAGCAAATAAATTTCAACATATCATTTGTGAAATGGCAAGAGACCTTATAACTTAATCCATTATGCCAGAACAGGCTAAACTTCCCCAAAATCTGAACATGAAAAACTATGTTTTGTCAAACACAAAATACAATAAAAACATCCCACAGAGCTGAGCACTAGGGAATCATGCCTATACGGTTCAGGTTTTCATTTTCATTTCTAAAATCATTCTACCTCCCTTCCTTACAACTGTAGTACTTTTTTCTCTGCTGTCAAATATAGAGGCAGATATAGTATAGCCTTAATGTTCTGATACTTTTATAATAAAATATTTTATATTAGACATTTTTCCCACAACATCATTAAATTTGCTGCAGAATTGCTATGGGCTTAATACAAATTTAGAAAGCAAAAGGAAAACATATTGCTCCATGTACTGTTCCATCAACTGTCAACCATGGGCTAGAAAGCTAATGGCAAAATGCCTTTTTCTTCTAGAACTGAACTTTGTTCACTCAGAAAACACACACTGGCCCTCTCAATACTTTAAACTTTTCATATATTTATTAGATTGCTTGTTTTAATTATATTCTGGATTATGAAGATCTCAATAGAAGAAGAGAAGGCTCACCTTTTACAGCAAGTGTTCCAAAGAACAATAGCTAAGGAAGATGTTAATAGACATTATTTTAAAACAAAATAAACAAACAAAAAAGTTTTCATGTTCAAAAAAGCTTGGAAAACTCTGGGTAAAAGAAAGTTTATTTACTACAAAATATGCAGAGCCTTTAATATACTAATTTATATTGTGAATCTCCAAGGTATAGAAAGCAGCATTTGTCAAGGAAAGATTACAGAAATGATTTTCTTTCTAGCTAGTTTCTATTTATTTATTCATTAATCAAATACTTATTTATTTTGTGTTTACCATGCTTTGTATATTCTCCAGCTTACATTTCTGTATGGAAGAGACAGAAACAGGTACATAAATTGTGTTAAAAGTTAACGGCAGAGTGATATAATGGGGGGAAGGAAACATTATAGCCACAGAGGATCTCAGCGGGGATGCTTACCTAACCTAGGCATGAAAAGAGTTGAGAAAGAAAACTCTAACCAGAGGAAGCAGAACCGAGAAAAAGTTAAGCATATCAGTATTGCATAAAGAGAATGGAGGCTAGTATGTCTAGAGTAGAACTGCACAGAGGGAGCAGTAAGACATGAGATTGAGGAAGGAGGCAGACAGGTCATACAAGATACTTTATGGCATCTGGTTTAGATTTCATTATAAACACGATACAAAACAAATTAGCAGCAATGGTAATAGAAAAGAACAAAACCAATGTAAGCTCTATGCAGGCAGGTAAGTATAACTAGCTGTAGAGCCTAAAATAGAGCTTGGCCTATAATTTTGTTGAATTAAGACCCAGAAAGTGATGATTCTTAGCTAGAAAATATAAATTTAACAGAAAACAAAAACAGGAATATCTAATTTGGCAATGGTTTCTATTTCATGAATAATTCATATACAGTGTTAACATTTTAAAAAGTGATATAGAAAGTGGTTTTAGTGAGAGCTCATTCAGAATATATTTGTATAATTTATAAATGACTTTAGTCCTGTATTTATAAAATTACTAAAGGTCTATAGGGCTTGCTTACATTTTTCAGATAGGTTTCACTGTCTTTCATTGGTGAATTACATATTATAGTGCCTTTTATGTATTTGGAGAGTCTCAAAATTGTTAGAATATTTACCTTATAGATGACAAGGGTCTACGCAGTTTGCAAATGGATGATCTCTAAGCAAATGAGAGATTATCGAGAATACAAACTTCCCCTAAAACATAATTTCTTAGGAAAAGTATATTTTATTTTAGGTGAAAATTTTCCAATTACCTTAAAATATAATAACATCCTTTATATTAACTACATAGTTTACTCTAAAATATTTTTATAAATATACATGTTTATAAGGTAAATTTTATGCAGCCAATTTACCATGTAAATATATAACATAGAGAGGTAGAGAAAATATCTAATTGCATAGTAATATCTTTCCATATTTGGTGTAAACATCTTTAGCTAAAATTACAATATAATCACATGTACATAAATGTTTAGCTAACTAGCAATTATAGCATAATTATTACCACGTTCAGGATGAAAGTAATATATGAAAAGATATTTTCAGTAGTTTCAGAGTCATTAATCTGTTTTTCATATTAATAACAGGTAATTACAAACACAATTTTAACCCCTAACTTCATATACTTAATGCTTATTCCAAAAACATTCTGATTGTTTCACCATTAAGAAATATAGGTTTAGAGAAATAATTACGTTTTGAGAGAGAAAATTAATATATATATTCTTTGCAGAGTACAGTTGAATAAAAAATAATTTTGTTAGATAAATAACATCTCAATTGTGCTAATTCTAACCTTCATTTGCTTTTGTTTTTAGTTTTTAGACTTAAAAATATATGGTCCATATTTCTGCACTATTAGACTTAAATATTTTAATGTTAGCATTAGTCCTGGTTCAAAATGTGGTAAGGAATATAAATTGTGATTATATTTTTAATAACCTGTTTCTTTTGAAAAAGTGAAATAAACCATAAGATTGCTAAATTCACTAAATTCAGAGGGGCAATTACAGAGTCAAGATCTTGGATCATTATAAAAATAAGCATGAGATAAATGACATACAATTTTAATCCCAAAATATTTGAGTTCTATTTAGCTATCTTTAGGGTTTCTCTTGGAAGGAAGCACTAGATAAGACTTTTACTTCCCAATGCTGTCAAGTATTTTTTAAAATTAGTCATGCCATTTTAAAGACAGGAAACTCTTGATACTGCCTCAGAACATTTTTGGGGCTCAGAAAGCAGTACCCCAAGATACAGTGTTTGAAATGCTGAACTGAAAAAGAAGCCTCAAGGTCTCTCTGACTTGTCGCCTACTCTTGTCTCTCAATCTTCTCTCCCAACGCACAAAATGAATTTGTTCTCTGAAGTGCCCTTATGTATATAAAGTTCAGACCCTCCAAAGACAAAATAATTACCTCTAGTTAAAACAATTACCCTTTCCCTGAGTTTTCATTAACTGAACTCACACCTCAGGAAGGAGGCTTACATCTGACAACACACCTGGACAGACTTTTGTCACAAACCACTCTTTGCTCTGTGGGCCCAGTAGATATTTTTCTAGGCCATTGTATGTTTTTCAAACCTATGAAATGCCCCTAAAAGTCAGTTACTATGCCCCTAATATTATCCACACTTCTCCATCTTCCTGTCCCATAAAAAGAAGGGTCTAAAAACATCTGAACCCTCCTGTGTGGTGAGGTAATCATTCTGTGATTCTCCCCTATGCACGTTAATAAATTTGTCTGCACTTCCTTCTATTAATCTGCCTTAAAGTAAACTTTAAGAGGGTGAAGGGAAAGTTTTCCCTTGGCCCCTACAACATAGATGATAGAAAGTCTTGGTAATAGGAATAAAAATCCCTACACCCAAAGGTTGTTGTGAAGATTAAATGAAAATAAAACGTATTATGCCTATTAATGAGCTTTACATATTTCAGATGCTCAACTTTTTTGTGTTTTTATTTAATAAAATGACTGGCTCATAAGATCTACTTTTCATGACTCCTTCAGGGTTCTTCAGTGATGTTTCCTGTGGAATCATTCCTGGGACTAGATAAACTCCAGTCAAATTGATAGCATCTACTTTCTAATAAATAGAGAGAACTATAGAATCTCTGTCTCTCTTCCACCCCTGCCCCTCTTTTTCTCTGTCTCTTTGCTAGGGATCATGAAAACATCAGTCAGTAACTGCCTTCTTCTGGGACCAGGGACTAACAGATAACTAATACCATTATGTTGATTGCTGGTTTGCCTTCACTACTTTGCATGCACCTGTCTCTCAAGGTAGTCTGAGCTTCTCAAACTGCAGTGAAGCTGAGAACCACATCTGTGCACCCAAAGAAAAACTCCAGGGGAAAGCACATTCATCTGTAGAGAAACCAAAGGTTAAACATTTCTGAGGTACATGGGGGTGGCTCTGTGTAATTTTATATAATTAACTGCTTAGGGATCAATGGCTGGCAGAAATGATGAAATATTTTACTACATGTTTTTAAAGATTAAATATTTAAAATCTACTTGTCTATTTTAAACAAATAAACAAATCCTAGAGGAAATGCATTTGGGAAGAAGTAAAATGAAGAGTGAGTGGGTAAAAAGTTTTATTTTTTAAAAATGAAGTCTTCATTATAGAACTTACAATTTAAGTACTTAGTGATGGAGGGAAAAATGAAACAGTGTCCTGAGGTCTCTTCCAGTCCAATCATTCTATTTTGGGAATTCATTCTGAACAAAGTAAACATTATCAGTAAGCTGAATAAAACCATATGATGAGAAAATGAGGTTCTGAAATAAATCATCTACTGGACATGAAAATACAGAATAATAATGACCTCATGCTGAATATTATTTCTTTTGTGAAGGCTGATTTCCGGTAAAAGATGAATGTATCTGAGACAGGGGAGTCCAACAAAAGCATTTAGAAATTATAATCCCTTTTTAAGCACACAGTAGGAAATGGAAAGAAGAAAATCACTTTGGGAAACTTATTTCAAAATGGTAATATCTAAAGAATAAATAAAATCATCTTTCTGCCAAAGCATGTGATACAAAATGCCTTGCCACAAACTATTGAAGTTATACATGAATCCCAACTGAATAAATAAACAAAAACAATATGAATTGCCTTGATCAATATTTTCCCAAAGTTTAGAAATGGAAAAATAATTATTTTAGCTGTCAATAAATTGATGCATGAGGAATTATTAACAATTTCTTAACAGCATCTTAGGAAAATAACTTTTGAAAAAATTAAACAACTATGTATTTTATATTGGCAAAGATTACAGTTAAGATATTAGGCACATTAATTTCAAAGAGCTAGTAGATATTGCCTTTCAAATGAACATAAACTTCAGATTGTATAGATGGCAGGCTTCCATTTCCATACAAGTCTATGCATTCATTCCTGTTTATTAATGTAAAGCAGAATATGGATTGGGATTTGTTTTGGACTCCTCACCTATTTCTGTCTGCATCTTAATTTCTCCCTAGGAAAATCCAGTCACAATCTTCTATTTGAAGAAGATATTAAAAATAATTAACAATTAGTATGACACAAGCCAATATGTTTAGAACAAAGGTCATCTGTAGTTACCCAGTATGGCCAGACAGAAACTAACAGAACAGCAGCCTTCCTTCCACTAAAATTTAAATATAAATCACTACCAGAGTTATTGAACTTCCTCTTGGGTATCACAATGTAATTTTTCAGGGTGCCAACTCACACCAAACATGTACAAAATGTAACTCATATTTAATCCACAAAATTGTATGCTCTTATCCCTGTGATAATTATTTAGGAAAGAATGCTATAATTCACCCTGATTAAAAAATTAAACTATTGCACAGGCCAGAAGTCAAAGAATCATTCTTAATATATCAAGAAAAGCAAATAGAGAGGAGAATTTGTACAATTTTGCAGGTAGTAGATTGCTGATGCTTTGTAAACTATCTTAGAGGGTTTTGAACTTTATCCAAAGCATAATGGATAGCTCTGTGATTTTATCATTACACTGTAAGATATGCTGAGGTCTAACTTTGCACTCAGAATTTTTTTAACATTATTCAGTGCTATGGATTTCTAAGTTATTTTAGTATCCAAACATGCTATTTTCAAACTATTTTTCTGCAGTTATGATAATTTGCATTTTTATATGATGAATCCTATTTTATCCTATTTTGCACATATTTCTAACTTCCTTATGAACATTTTGATTACATGTTTTTCATGGACTTTAAAATAGCTTTATTTTATCAATAGCTAAAAATTTTGTTAACACTCCATCTACTTTTTCTCTTCATTTTCGCATTATTAAATGGCACCGGGCATACTATCTATCTTTCAAGTCATTTCCCTCAGTGTATGAGTTCTCATATACTTACTGTTTTCATGCAAGCCTTACAGCACATTAGATTCACAGAAAATCATACTTGTGTGTGCAATTAAGTTTCATCAGATACATATGAAATGCTTTATGAATTTTTTTCTTATATATAACTCATAATATATTTACATTTTATATCAATATCTCATGTGATTAATATTTCCTTATAGGATAATGCTTTCAATGAATTTTTTAAATCTTACCTTTCTTTTCTAAAATGTAAAAGCAAGCAATATTATCATCTATTTTAAAAAATTTATTTAGAAAATAATGCAATAAATAATGAAAATGCCTTCATTTTCAATCAAGATTTGGATTGAAGATTTTCAGCAGTAATTTCCAGCTTAATTATTTTCTGTAGAGAGGTATATTTGAAACACATATCAGATGAAGAAAGTATCATTTCACCAGTCATTCTTTTATTTATTCATGTAAAGAGTCTTTTTACTGCCAAATAAATTACTCACGATGAATAAAAAATTGAACCAGACTAGAATTCAGTCTTCCAAAAACTGACATACTTGGTTTCACATAAAAGATGTTAGGTGATCAAACTGATGAAATTTTTGTTTGTTCAATTAATAAATTTGAAAAATTTACTTTGCTAAGAAAAGTAAATGACCTTTTGAGGACTATTCACAATAGCAGAGACATGGAATCAACCTAAATGCCCATGAATGACAGAGTGGATAAAGAAAATGCAGCCCATATGGACCGTGGAATACTATGCAGCCATAGAAAAGAATGAGATTATGTCTTTTACGGAAACATGGATAGAGCTGGAGGCTATTATCCTTAGCAAACTAACACAGAAGAACCAAATACCACATATTCTTACTTATGTGGGAACTGAATGATGAGAACTCATGAACAAAGAAAAGGGTACAGCAGATACTGGGGTCTACTTGACGGGTAGATGGTGGTATCAGAAAAAAAATAGCTAGTGGGTATTAGGATTAATACGTGGGTGGTGAAATAATCTATACAACAAACCCTTATGACTTAAGTTTACCTATATAACAAACCTTCATATATACCCCCCAAACATAAAATAAAAGATTAAAAAAAAGAAAACAGTAAATGAAGGAGTTTTCTTAATTAAAGAGAGTTAAAAATTTAAGTAAATATAATTTTTATGAGAAATAAAATAATTAACATTATTATGTAGAGAATCTTCAATGCAATTTTTAAAAACTCAGCAATAAAAAATAACAGGAACAGGAAATTCACAAAATAAAAAATGTAAATTGCTTAAAATAACCTTATAGTGGTTTGTCATTATTAGTGAGAATTGGAAAGTCTATGACAGTTGAAAACAAAGCAGAATGAAGGTTTAGGACAAAAAGGCAATAAATTTCAAAATTTTAACTTTCATATGTAGGACCAATCTTGGGAAACTGCAAAAGTGTGCAAAATGATTTATGCATAACTAAATGCAATTGATTTTATTTACAAATTATAAAGCAATAATTTAATTTGTTGGAGATTGATTATATTTAATACAAATATTTAAAGATAAAGAAATATACAACTATGGTAAGTGATAAAAATATTATATTCTATATAATATCCATTTTATTATATTTATGTATATGTGTATACAATGTTAGTACAATTAAAAAAATAAAAATAACTGGGAAGTGTAGACGTAGGTAACATTTCAAACTTTTTAATAAAAAATTCTAGAAAGGATATTATAATTTTCATAAGCAGGAAATTTAGCAGTCACTTATGGGTCACACTGTAAACATTTAAAAATGATGTTGTACACCCATAAACAACTAAGAACTGTGAAAGACAACGTGAAATTAGTGTTGTAGTAAAAGATTTGAGCAGAGTTTGGATATTCTGAAATAGAACAATAATTTCTGCTAAAATAATTCATCAACAAAGATTTTACATACAATGAAGACTTTCAATTGAACTTTAAAAACATGACTGAGGCCTACCACAATCAAAAACAACAAGGTATCAACATGTGCATTTCAAGGCAAAAGGAATACAGTCATCTCTCCATATTCATTGGGAATTAGTTCTAGGATCCCCACGAATATTAAAATCTGCAGAGATCCATGCCCCTTATGGCATATCCCCCAGGTACTTCACATAATTTCTAGATTACTGATAATAACTAATACAATGTAAGTGCTGTGTGAATAGCTGCCATATTATTTTTTTTGTTTTTTTTTTACTGTTGTATTGTTATTATTTATTTATTTATTAGGAATATTTTCTATATCTAGTTGGTTTAATTCATGGATGTGGAACTGTTTATATGGAGAACTAACTAGTTATTTTTGTGAGGTCAGAGTAGAAGTTGCATGAGGGAAGCCATCTAAGGAATCTGGAATTTTCCCAGCCAGTTACAGTAATTTTGTATTGCCCTATTACAAATAAACATTGAAACTATATCATTTTACCCAAAGTTAGATATAAAACCATTCTCCCTAAGTTTCTCAGGTGAACTACTCAGTGAGTTAAGTGAGTCATTGTCCTATTTTCTCTGCAAGGGAAATCATGTTCCATGATTATAAATAAAAATAAATGAATGCGCAAATTGCAAAGAGTTTTTGACATTAACTTGCTCTTGTTTTGGACAATGCTAAGCCTGAAAATACTTAACTTTTTTTTCTAGAACACAGCATTTTTCTTTAAGATGTCCCAGATCAAGTCTCAGGTGTTTGTCAGTCTCAACTGTTTCACATACAACTCCTCATCCTGAAAGTTACATACACATTTAACTCTTTAAGGAAATCTTAAGACAATAAATACCTTTTTTTCCCATCAACGTTTGTCTTAAACGTTAGAGCATCTAATTTGAAGAAAGTGTTATAATAAACATTTAAAAAAATGAACTATTAATGTTCTAAACTACTTTTGTCTTTCAATTTGATACAACTTTAAAAATATATATTCCAAAATTAAATGGGGTTCTGGATGTTTTTCAGGATAAAACATTGAGATTGTTTCTATAACATTATACATTTATCCTCCACGTCTCTAAAGTAAACCAGTTTATCACCATCCTTAAACCTAAAATAGCAGAACTTGACTATTAAATGTATGTATTGCAAAAAGCCATTATTTTATAAACATTTGTAATATTCAAGCAATATGTAATTAAATTACTTGTTTAAATATATCTCTAAATTTATAAATTTATAGAAGATCTAACTCTAGAAGTCTCCATCAACAATTTGGAATGATTTTTGCTTACCTGTGACACCCAGAAAAAAACAACGTTCACAATTTTACACAGAAATCAGTGACATGCGTGGAAAGAAAATGGAACAGAAGGTAGAAACCTGCGTTCTGGAATTAGACTGCCGGCGTTTAAAGCTCATCTCTGCCACTAACCACTTATATGATGTTAGGCAAATTAGTTTATCTCTCTGTGCTACTATTTTCTCAAAAGTAAAATGTGAGTTGCAATGTAGTTTGTTTAACTCGAAAATTTTGAGATTTGAATATAACATTCAAACGCTAAGATGTGTACCTGACACAGAATAAATGCTCAATAACAATAATCTCTTTTTTAAAAATGCACAAAATGTAGAAAGCAATACATTGAATTCCATTCTTTAAAACGAGCACATATCTAAATGCTGAGTAATTTCTTACGGAGACCTTACAGATACAGTTCTTTTTTCTATTGTTTCCCCGGAATTATTCAGAAAAGCATTTTCTTTAAGCAAGTTCTAATGGCTGTCACTATGATTTAAAGCTTTCTACAGAATCTTTCACATAGGGTATGCCTGCCTAAATTACTTTGGACCTAGTTTTAGATAAACTTCCATAACAAGTGTTGAATAAATGCATGAGTAAATAAAGTAAAGCAAAACAGATATTTAACGTTTGTGACTGGTGTTATCTTTCTGGAGTGTTTGAATAGAAGTAGTTTAGGTTGGTTAATTAGGTTTCCCCCACCACAACAAAAATTCATGTTCAGAAACATTACGTTACATTCATCATTTCTCTAAAAGGCTTGTCACTGAATTACCTCTAGCTTGAGAGAGAGAGAGAGAGAGTTCAGATCAATTCTGGATGCATTTCTTCCAAGACACCATTTCATCTTTTAACACAATAATACCAAAATATGAGGTGAAATCCTGTATTAAAATACATTTGGGTCAGCAGGATTTTTCAGCAGAAAAACTCCTTGATATATATGATGTTGTCTTGGTAAAATTAAATTCTATTCTATTGCCATGATGTATATGCTGGTTATACACATTAGTTATTAAACTGGGTGAGTATCTTTAAAAATTAAATAAATTTGATACAATGTATTTGACAAGATGAAAAATGGAGGAAATGGCAACATTCCTCAACCTGTGGTTGAATTTTAAATACAGCTGAAAGTATAATAGAAATGAAAGTATGGACTGCATGTAGAGAGGGACTGATACTTCCTCCTATATTTCTTCTCCCTCACTGTGCATAATGAGCACAAAGATCTCCTTCTCATAGAGCTGGGCCTAGAAATATATTGTAAAAAGATTTCATTTTAGCAATATTTTCTCAAAATCATTAAGTATTTAAATAACTTTTAATTAGTATATGTGAATAATTTCCACTTAATCCTCTATGGATTTGTTGTAGGCAGTTTGAACAGATAACTCATACATTGGCCCCTGAAACTCCTCCTTAATATTCAATATTACAAGTGCTTCTACTAAACTGAATGAAAACTTTGAATGCAAATTGACCACAGGATAAGATCAATAAAACGCACCCAAATGCTAAATGAGATCAAAGGATAAAACCATAAGAAAATAGACAAATCAAGTGATGAAAGATGGCTAATGTAAAAGTTATTATTATCAATCATAAGCACCAAACTCACTTTTAAAATGTCAAGAGGAAAGCTGAGCATTTAAAAGAAAGAAAAATATAGGTGCTTTATTGATTAAAAAAAAAGCAGTTGTCTTGTCTGGAAAATTGAATGCTTACAATTGTATTCTATTCTCATAATTACAAAAAGGCCTTTATTGACAGTTGAATCATTTGAAATTCTTCCTAGGTCCGTGTAGTTTATATCCGATAATTTCAGGTTTAGTTGACTGTAAACACATTTTGGTGAAATGTCCTAACCCTTGGTACTTCAATATCTGTGAAAAAAATGTATTTACTGACAAAGACAACTGGCTTGGGTATTAAGCCACACCTATGCAACAAAGTTTTATAAAATGTCAAAAAACTTCTTATATTTGGATCTACTGGGTTTAAAATGCATATCCTCAACACTAAACTAGCAGAGTCAATGGCTCCTAGGCAGTTGAACCAATTCAAAAGGAAGCTCTTTGCCAATACTATGCTTCACAGTTTATTAAGATTATTATTGCTGCTCTATTTTGATCATCAGTCTTCCCCTACAGTCCAGATGACTGGCTACAGCTTTAGCAGGTGGACTATGGGTTTTCCACATAGGTATATTAACAGATGTACTATGGATTTTCCACACATTTCTAAAGACCAGTTTCTTCCTATTCTCCAATTCTAATTCCTGCTCTGTCACTGTGAACTTCATTCTTCCTGGCTCCCCCCTTATCTCTTAATTTCTTAATTTTCTATCTCCGTATGTATTCTACTATTCAAAAACGTCTTTTTACCTTTTTACTCAACAGCAGCATCTATCCACACCCTCACAACTATTCAAGTGGGTTGACAGTTCTAGCTGCAGTTAAAATAAGGCACTCTTACTGTCTAGCTCCTTGCTTCTCAAGAACTTACTAGAAATGAAGGCAATACCCCACCCAGATCTTTTGAATCAAAATCTGCCTTGTAACAAGATCCCCAGGTAATTCAAATACACATGAAAATTTGCAGAACACTGGAGCTTACACAGTTCTATCAGGTGATAAGGCAAGACGACTTTTTGTTCTTTGTTACTGAATATTCTTGCCGTGTAGCTGGAACAAAGGGGGTGAAGAGAGCATGGGTAAGTCAATGAAGGCTGTTCTCTTCCAGCTACATGAGATGCAGATGAAAAGGGCTACCTGAACACATGCCACTGCAGCACACTAACCACCAAATCATCCAGCTCTCCAAACAGGTCTCCAGCACACAGTGCTATTTTATCATATGATCCCCACTATGTCACTATAATACGTAAATATTTAAAATAGATAAAATGCTAACATTTTATTACTCTTTTCTACAAAAATAATTTTTTTCTACAAAATTAGCTGGTAGGTAAGCACTTCCAAAAACAAACTTCATTTCGTGAAACAATATTTCATCATTAGCAATTTAGAAACCGTGCATGCCAACCATTAACTAAGCAAGTGAACCCAGATATATGAGATAAGAGGAACTTCTTTTTAGGGGAGACAAAAATGTTTTGTAACTGGAAACTTGGAATATACTTTTTTTTTTAAGAAAGGAAATACCTACTCATTTCATTATGTATGTGAATTTGCATGATGTTTTTAGGATTGTCTCATTTTCAATGCTATGCACTTTCAACATGCACACAATATTTAAGAAGACTATTTCAAGATATAGTTTAGGATCAGGGGCTGAAATTTTGAATTCTCTCTCCATCCACACTACTGTTTCCATCTACAAAGTGATAGCAATGGCACAATAAGGGTACAAAAACATCGTATAAAATGTGTGTAGGGCATGTCTACCACAGTGAAATAAAAGGCTATATTTCAAAACATGGCATTCCATTTTAGTAAAGGTGTACACTGCCATTCTTAAAATAAATACTCTGTGCTCTCAATGTACCTTTCATAAGGCACATAATATATGTCTACACTGCAGTTCTGATAGATTAATATTACTTTCACTCGAGTCACCATGTATGCAATTATATAATTTCATATTTATATAGAAATTCAATAAAATAAATAATTTCCAGTAAAATACAATTAAGGAAACTTAAGTTATGACTAAAATATTAATCTTATTTTATTTATTTATAAAAATGCCTTTATTATTACTTAAAAGAGTAAGCTTTATTACTAACAGTTCTTATATTATAGCTCCTTTGGAACCCTCCAAAGACAATTATTGTGAAAAGTTAAAGGTTTTTTTCTGAACCCTTGATTTAAAACAAAAGATAGTTGGTAGTGTTTGCAAATCTTCAGGATATAATCTTTTCTCTCTGTCTCTCTGGGTAGTACACTTCTATCATAATTCCCAGAGGAGAGTTGACTAAATATTTGATTGACTTCCCCTTTGCACACAAACAAACTGACCGAAGATACTATAAATCAATACTTTCTCTTAGGAAGTCCATGGAAACAACTGCTTTTGCTGAGGTGGGGGGAAAAGAGTCTCATTTTTTGCTCAAGTAATATTCCTAAGTCTTTTCCACAAAACTTTTCTAAAGATACAAATGTCGGGACTATATAGCAGTGGTTTCTTAAATTTATATATAAATAGCTCAAACTTGATTAACAACGAGATTACAGTTGGTAGTTAAAATATTTCTAAATAATTACTTAGGTAACTGATTCTCATTTCTGAATCTATATTGTGAAATACTGGCAAAATACTGCAAATTCATGTGATATGTGAGGTTGCAAATCCTAGACTTGTTTGTCTGGTGATACAAATCTGAATCACCCAGAGCAAAGGGCAGAAGTCTTGACCTTAGACTTCAGGTGATGATCGATTCTCTCTTGTACTGTTTTGCTTCTCAGCAATGAAATCTTTGATTATGGACTAATTATCAGTATGAATTTTTCAGTTCTTACTCCCTGGGAGAAGGGAGTTACTGCTGAAAGTGGTCTAAGATAAATTTTATGCATTTCTAGTAATGCTGACACTTGACAAATTATGAAGGAATTATTTTGTTTCTGATGTTATATAAACCAGAGGAGTTGAAGCTTAGAGAAGAACAGGAAATGAAGTATAACTTCCAAGAGCCAGGACTAGCTGGAGCTTTACTTCTCTATGTAGCTAAAGAAAACAATCTAAGGGTCAGCATCCTACAATGAAAGCAGCATGATGAGAGTGGTTATATGAGTAAAGACTCCTTAAGACCCTACCCATTGGTGTTGTGGTGGCAGGTATTAACGCTTTAGGCATAGACATTTAAAGACAGGGAAAAACAAGACTTTCTACCTTAAACCCTGTGAAGACAACAAGAATAGAGCCAGTGTGAAAAGAAAATGCCTACTTATATATTCCAAGATACTTTGGCAATAAAATGATGCCTTGACTTTTTTCCTGCCTTGAAGCTCCTGGTTGCTTATGAAGGTTGCAGGGCCCAAGGGAGACAGCATCTAATGAACCAAAATTTGAGGTTGTATAAGATTTTTTAGGTCTTTGATTATTAATCCACATTATTACATGCAAATTTTAGATATTTGACTTTCAAACAAATTTCAGATATATTTTCAGTATAGTCATGAAAATTTACTAAGAATATAATTTCCAGATTTGGAGACACATATCCCAATTTAGTTCCCATAATTTTTTTCATACATATGCTTTTCTTTTTAGTCAACAGTAATAAGTAAATTTCCTAAGTAATTAAAACTGACAAGCACCTGCAGTTTTTCCGAATCACCATACAACAACATATGTATAATTTATTCTTTTTTTTCTATTATATTTGCAAAATACAAAAGTATGATCACTATACATTTTAGTCAAATTCTGTTCTCTACAATAAGTTAATAAGGCAGTGTTATATAATTATTGCTCCAAAGTCAATACAACTGGCAATATATACTGATGGAAAATGTTCACGCTTTTCTACAATGATCAAAACTGCCACAAGCAATACGCTCATACCAGTCTCAGCACCTGACATCTTGACATGTTGATGGATCCAAAGAGCAGCTGCTGGACCCCAATTACAAATCAAGGTTTCAAGAAGCTTGTGGTGTTTTGTGTCAAGTGCAGTCAAATGCAAAAGGAGATGAGGGTAGAGTTAGAGCAGAAAAAAAATGGTAAAGGAAAGTGAAAATCTATACCATGTCCTTACCCCAAAGTTCAGAAAAGAGAGTGATGATAGAATGTAAAGAATAGCACAGCGATAGTACAATGTTTGACATAATTTGGGATAAAAATCCACAACACCCTTTTCATTCCATATGGACAGTTTTCCTCTATTCTCTTTCTTTCCCCAACACATCAGTAATTCTTTGCATTTTTCACCTTCATGTTCTGTTCCTTTGCCTTCTTTTAGTCTGCAAACTATTTTCCTCCTTTCTAATGCCTCATCTTTCAGTCAGACAGCAATTTCTATAGGACTTGTTCATCTCCAAGAGTAATACTTAGGGATAAAGGGATTGCTGTTCCAGATCTTTCAGGATTAGTACTGGAACTAGAAAATTCTCCTTTACAAATAAAAGCTTTCCACAATTCACTTTATAAAATATATGATATGAAGACAGTGTCCAAAAATTATTTTGAAAAAAACCTAAGTGTTTCTATTAAAATTATAAGAAAAAGGTAAAATTCAATATGTAATACGTTAAAATTATCAAGAAATAGAAAGTTTAAAATGTAATATTTGAGAAAAACATAAATTCAGCTGATGGAAAAAACTGTGAATAAAGAAAAATAGATATTGAGGAGTAGAAATATTAGACAAATATAAAGGCTGAAACTGACATTAGAAATTGATAACATTGCACTGTTATATGAGAAAAAGTACTTCTTAATAGTCCTTAGAAAACTCAGTCTGGCAATATGAAGAATTTACTTTAGGAAGTAGATTCTGATTTCTGAGTTTTAAAGCCCATGGAGATATTAAATGTGTCTCAGAAGACACAGAAATAAAGGTAAAGATAAAAGAACTGCTTCCCAATTCTGAGCAGCATTAATAGTTGCTCCGGAAGATCACAGTGTAACATCAGAAGGTAAAGTATTGAATGAGAATGGGAAAAGGGCCCAAAAAGACTGGCAGAAAATAGGAAGAATTTGATACCCTAGGGAAAAAAAGTCAGCATCTCTATTTCCAGTGATACAGATGTAGGTGTAGCTGTTTGGTATTAATCCTCAATTGTTCTACGCTTTGACAGTGTGATATGTGTAGGGATTTAGAAAGAAGGCAATCAAATGTCTCCCTGTGGCTGAAAGCATGTTTTCATATGGCTGAGTTTTATGTGATTTGATGGCTCCAAAATCTGGTTTAGAATTATTGTAGTCATGTTCAATACCTGACCTTTGGAGGACTTGCTAGTGCCCTTAAAACACAAAACACAGTGTATTACATTCTCCCCCTTACCAGCACTGTCATCTGTCAACCTGGCACTTGTTAGGAAAAGAAAGTTTTAAAGAGTGTTTTTATATATGATGAATGATCACTTTTCAAACAACAGTATCTACCATACACCACACATGGTCTAATAAATGTTTTCTGTGTTATGTAGATCAACAATTAATTTTGCATTCTGCGTTTTAGAATCTCATTAGTTTATACTGCACACTTGATTGATAAATCCCAATAACACCAAGTTGTTCAAACTTTCTGAGCCTTAGATTTGCCACCTGTCATGTAAGGAAAATAGCTGTCCCTATAGTTTTTATAAGATTAAATGAGATTCTTTAATTACACAAAGTTTGGCACATTGTATGAGTGCAATAATTAGTAGCATTTGTTATTAGTTTTGTTGGTGATGTTATTGTTAACATTTATCCCAAAGTACACACGCATATGAATATATATGTACATGCTAATGGATATGTACACATTCAAGGCATTAAAGAAAGGATATTAAAATATTAAAGGCTAAGGTATATTTTTATTTAGGAACAAGATATAATAATAGTATAATGAAATGAAAACTTCCCCAGGGTATGTAACTTGTATATAGTCTTTAAACATGAAATTTTTATGGTGTCTCAATTTTATTAATTTGAAACTTCCTCCCTTTCTTTTTACAAAATGGAAGGGAAAAAGAAAATCAATGAAATTCTTCTTTATGTCTCATAATAAGGTAAAATATATAAACATGTAAACATTTTTCTTGGTAAAAAATAACTCACAAACACACACCTACACATATAATATCTTGCCTGGATCAAATGCTTAGTGTGTGATCTTTGAAAAGTCCTTTAACACTTAAGTCTCATGTTTTGACCCATAAAATCAAGGCAAATAAGCTATTCTTGATGGTATTGTTTTTAAGCTAAAATTAGATAATTCATAAGAAAGCACTTTGTACATTAAGGAAGTTCAATGCAAATAACTAATGAGAAGACAGAGTGTCTGTAAAAGTATTACATGATCTCTTAGATCTGTTCTTTTAAAAATTATGAATCTAAAAAAATTCTTCAATTCCTAAACGTATTGTAGCGTGCCGCTTAATTTATCTTTCTCCGTCTGCCTGGCAGAGATCCCACTTGTTCTGCTGTCTTCCTCTCTTCTTGGTACTTAAATCTTTCTAATTCTAAGAAGGGCATCAGCCATATCTTCTGTATAATGAAGTCATATTTATCTATAACTCATACATGTATTTGTTTAAAAAGTTCATTAAAATGATACAATATGGGGCCAGGCACGGTGGCTCACGGCTGTAATCCTAGCACTTTTGGGAGGCCAAGGCAGGTGGATCACAAGGTCAAGAGATCCTGACAAACATGGTGAAACCCTGTTTCTACTAAAATTACAAAAATTAGCTGGCTGTAATGGCGTGTGTCTGTAGTCCCAGCTACTTGGGAGGCTGAGGCAGGAGAATCGCTTGAACTCGGGAGGTGGAGGTTACAGTAAGCCGAGATCACACCACTACATTCCAGCCTGGGTGACAGGGCGAGACTGTGTCTCAAAAAATATATATATATGTATATACACATTATATATATATATACACACACACACATATATTTTTATTATATATATACTATATATAAATATTATATAATATATAAATATATATTATATATACATATATATTTATATAAATATATATTATATATAATATATATTTATATAAATATATATTATATATACATATATATTGTGTATATATATATACACACACACACACACATACAATGTAAGTTTGGGTTTCTGGTTGAAGTTTTGCCATTCACTAAATATAATGGTGAAATATTTGCTATCAGAAAGATAGTGAGAAAAGTCACACAAGAAGAGACATACCATCAGAGATGCATAGTCACATTTCAGCATCCAGATTCCTTTCCCTTTACCCTATTTCAGGATGCTATCTCCCTCTGCTCTCTGGATCTTCCAGCTTTTGCTGGAATTTGCTCAGATGATTTTCCAGACATTCAAACTGATTCATCATCTGTTCCTTTTCAGTTGCTTCTACACATTACTCCACCTTCAGAAGGCAAAAATTATGTTCAATAGATTGTAGGCAAAAATCTGACCTTATTCTATTTTACTTGACCTTTATCTTCTTAGGATCAAACCATACAGCACTATAATCTATACTATATGGGAAATATGTTTCCACACTGAACCATTTAAACAAATACATATTGTCCCTACACATTTTCCAAAATGTTATTTTACTGCTGGTAGTTTTATATTTAATTGAAACTTTTACAGCTACAGAAATAAGTGACTGTGTGTTTAGACCAGCTCAAAATGTTCTACATCCATTCAAATTATTTGCATATTTCAGAGTAGTTCAGGAGATTTCATTTTATTTCCTGTATAGAAACAGTCTCAGTGTGGATTTTTTTTGAAAAATTAAAATGGGATGATTTTCTTTGTTCTTACCTGTACAGGACTATGGCATGCTTTATACACAGTTCTAAAATAAACAAGGTCTCTTTTATGAGCTACATCTTCCTGTTTGAATAATTTTATTAACTCATATAGAATGTAAGGTGAAGCTTCTGAAATCTCTACTTGAATAACTTTGGCAAGTTTCACTTCTATACCCGTGAAATAGATGCAAGCCCCCCAGAAATAGTAATCCCTATAAACCAAATCATTTTCCCTAAGAATTGGAAGCTATTGACATTGTAATACCTTGCAAGAGTGTTTGTAGCTTTACATGATGATCATTATTAATATAAATGACTGCAATATAATTATGAGTTGCCTAGGTAAAAAAAGAAAAGATCTAGAATAATTACAAATAAGTAACATGTAAGCCTGAGTTGCTAGCTGAAAACAGAAGGTAATTCTGCTTAATAAAAATCACTTTCGAGAGATGCAGCAGATTATAAAACAACTAATTATTATCAGACCCTATCCTGGTAAGAATGAGCATTTCAAAAACACCCAGAGGCATATACAGTCATCAACCAAAAATTGATTATGCACAGGTGGATTGCCCACATTGCAGTCTCCAGTCACAGCAGATTTCCTTGCTCAGCTGCTTAACACCCCCTTAGGCAAACTCTGCTCGCCAGTATAGCATTTCTGTTGCTCAGTCAGGCTGCCCTACTCTTTTCAAATTATGCAAGGTCTTGGGCAGCCCAGTCCTCCTGTCCCAGCTCTGCAAAGTACAATCAACCTCGCCTAGCCTCCCACTTCCTTTGCATTCTCAGGTGGCTCTCCTAGGTCTTCAGGTGAGTGCATGCCTCCAAAACATTTCTACTTTACTTTCCATTAGGAGTCTTAACTGTTCCCTGAAGTGCCCTATGAACAAACATAAATCTCTTTCTAATCCCTTCTCATCAGGGGATTGGGAGAGTCTAAACTGACCCAGAGACATTTCTAGTTTTCAAAAGTAATTCTTGGAGGCTGCCCTGAAAAGGGTCAGGGGCACAAAAACAGCAAAATGGAAAATTAGAAAGCCCTCATATCATTCTAACCAAGGCCAGGAAAACATTGGAAGGACATGTACTTTTAAGGACTCCTAATATGTATACAATTACAACATATTTAGGAACTTAGAACAATTATAATCAAGAATTCATATGATTCTTTTCAAATTACTGCTATGTTTAAGGACTCATAAAACTAATAACTATGCATGTTGATGTCACTCCTGTATTTACAATGGCAAAGAGGTTACCTGGTGCAAAATAGAACTCAACCAATAACTACTGATAGAAAATATTCATATAGAGAACTAATCCAGGTGCCTCTTGTTTACAGTTTATGAATATCCTTATTTGATCTACTGGGGGAAAAAACAACTGGGTGTTAGTAATTAATAAAACAGTTGACATGATAAACACCCCCCAAAAATAATTTCTCTATTTTCTGCAATGTATTGAGTTGACTGTAATGCAGTTTGATTCTCCAATTGAAATAGAGAAATTAGAAAATACATTCAAAATACTATAATAAATTTATTTTTCTAATAAAGTTAGATTTTATGTCATCACTAATGGGAGCTCTATTCTTTCTCTTTTAGTCCATTTTTTTCTTCTTTCTTTGCTCCATGTATCATTCGTACTTACAGAGTCAACTCCATGCCAGGCACTAAGAAAACACAAAATACTCCCTATATTTGCTTTCGTTACCTTTGTTTTTGATGTCATATTCAAGAAAATCTTTGCACAGATTAATGCCCTGAAGCATTTCCCCAAAGATTCCTTCTAGTAGTTTCATACTTTCTGGTCTTAGTTTTAAGTATCTAATCCATTTTTGTTTGATTTTTGTAAGGATGAGAGATAGGGTTCTAGTTTCATCATTCTGTGTATATCCAGTTTTCCTAGCACCATTTATAACAGACAAATGGACTTACATGAAGCAAAGCAGCTTCTTGAAAGCGAAGGAAATGATCAATGTAGTGAAGAGACAATCTACAGAATGAGAGAGAATACTGTAAAGTATCTATCTGAAAAGGGATTAATAACCAGAATATACAAGAAATTCAAACAACTCAATAGCAAAGAAGGAACCAAACAAATAATTTAATTTAGAGAATGAACAAAATATTTCAATAGACATTTCTCAAAAGAAGACATACAAATGGTCAACAGGTACATGAAAAATGCTTAATATCACTAATCGTTACAGAAATACAATTCAAAATCACAATGAAGTATCATCTCACCCAAGTTAAAATGGCTTGTAACAAAAAGACAAAAAATAATGGAGGCTGGTGAGGATGTGGAGAAAGGAAAATCGTTATACACTGTTGGTGGGGATGTAAATTAATATAGCCACTATGGAAAATAGTATGGAGATTCTTCAAAAAATTAAAAATAGAACTGCCATATGGTCCAACAATCCTATGACTGAGTATATATTCAAAAGAAAGGAAATCTGTATATCAAAGATATATGTGCTCTCCCACGATTATTGCAGCACTATTTATGACAGAAAAATATGAAATCAATGTAATTTTTCATAAATGGATGAATGGATAAAAAAGTGAGATTTATACATAATGGAATATTATTTATCTCAAAAAATAATGAAGTCTTGTCTTTTGCAGCAACATGGATGGAACTAGACGTCATTATTTTATACAAAATAAGTCTGGTGTAGGCAGAAAAATATTACATATTCTCATTTATATATGGGAGTTGAAAAGTGGATCTCATAAAGATAGAGTAGATTAGTGGTTATTAGAAGCTGAGAAGCATAGAAGGGAGGGGAGAATGAAAATAGGCTGGTTAGTGGGTGTGAAATTACAGTTTGATAGAAGAAATAAGATCTAGTGTTTGATAGTTCGGTAGGGTGACAATAGTTAACAGTAATCTACTGCATATTTTAAAATAGCTAGAAGAGAATAACCAAAGTGTTCCCTGCACAAAAAGATACATATTTGAAATAATGGATATCCCAATTGCCCCAGACTTGATTATTACACAGTGTATGAATGTGTCAAAATGTCACATGTACCCTGAAAATATGTATAACTATTATGCATCAATAAAAATATAATTCCTATAGTTAAATGATGGTTGTCACAAAAGCAACTTATTATAGGGAACATGATCTTTTTGGGGGCATCAGGAAAGTCTGTTCTGAGTAAGTGGCCTTTGGATGGAGATCTGAGAGACACTACTTTAGATCAGATTCATCGGAGTACAGATACAGAGATGATTTTTTGTACAAGTGATTTATTAAGGAAGTGGATTCTCTCAGGAGTAGGAATAGCAGAAGAGGAAAGGAGGCAAGAGCTAAACAAATGTGTGATCTGGGGCAAAGCAACAGACAGCACTAGATAGAGCGCAATTCTGCAAAGAAATTATCAGCTGTGGGCTCTTATGTGTAAAGGCATAGAGAAGGCAGTTAAGGAAGTACATAGATTGATAAAAAGAGATTCGGGTAGACCTGGGCAGAACACTGACAGTATCTGCTGCTGGTACCTCTCATTTCAAAAGGACTGATACAGTAACATATGCAAAGCTACTAGCAAGTATTCTAGGCAGAGGAATATTACATACCAAGGCACTGTGATAGAATAAAGCATTCAAAGAACTAAATTAAGTCCAGTGAAGAGAACATAGTGAGGCAAGTAAATAGCACAAAGTGAAGCTGCAGAGGTAAGATAAACTAAACCATCTTAGGCTATGTAGGCTATACAATCCAGAATAATACTATCTATTCAAATAAATAAATCCCAAAATGTCAATGGCTTAACATAATGTTTATTTCTCATTTACTTGACATTCTAATATAGTTATTTGTGATTGATTAGATGGCTTTTTGCATGGGATAATTCAAGACTCAAGTTTTTTTCTGTTTTGTGATTCTCTCATCTCTGTGACCTTAGAGTTGGCTGTGTCCATGCAGGAGAGAAAAGAGAGAATTGAGAAACTGCAATGACTCTTTAAAACCCTGGCTTAGAAAGGATAATTATGACTTCCACTCATATTTCTTAGAGAACTAGTAAAAAAGGAAAGAAACTGGGAAATGTAAGTCCACGTTAGGTCATTGCTTTGACAGGTCCACACTATGTTGTTTTAAGGATTTCAGTTTTGGGTGGTTTGTTTTTTGTTGTTGTTGTTTTTTGTTTGTTTGTTTGTTTTTGACAGAGTTTTACTCTTGTTGCCCAGGCTGGAATGCAGTAGTGCGATCTCGGCTCACCACAACCTCTGCCTCATGGGCTCAAGCAATTCTCCTGCCTCAGCCTCCCGAGTAGCTGGGATTACAGTCATGCGCTACCACACCTGGCTAATTTTGTATTTTTAGTAGATTCGGGGTTTCTCCATGTTGGTCAGGCTGGTCTCGGACTGCCACCTGCTTCAGCCTCCCAAAGTGCTGGGATTATAGGCTTGAGCCACCGCGCCTGGCAGGGTGGTTTGTTTTATGTATAATTGAAACAAGGGCTTATGTGTTGAGGCTCTCCAATGTTCAACTGGTAGACAGAAAATAATGAGACTGCATGAAAGAGTAACATCCAGTTAGAGTTAAAAAATGTTAGGATACTGCATGTAATGGTTCACAAAAGAAAGGAGAGACAGAGAGAATATTCCAATGTGAGCATTATCAATATGTCAAATACTACTGAGAAATAAGGATAGGACATAAAAAAATAACAATTGGCTTGATGGGATTGAGTCATTGATGACCTAGGGTGAAGGGTTTTAGCAGAGTGACATGGGTGGAAGTCAACTCAGAACAGACTGAGGTGAGAGTAAAAAGATAACAAGTAGAGACAATTAGTAGAAGCAATTCTTCTGGGATGTTTCACTGTTAAATGTGGGAAGGAAATAGGGTGGTGAGTGACAAGTATTGAGGGTGCAGAGAGGATTCTTTCCAGTGTTTTGGGATTAATATTTTCTTATGTTTATTTTGTTAGTTTGCTATTATCTATAATTTAAATATATTTAATGAGAAGATCCAGGGAAAGTTTGAATATACAGGAGAGAGCAGGCATAATTAACATAATCTGGACTCTGAACAGGTGAGACAAAAGAAGTATGGGTAGAGGAAATGGCTACAAGAGAGAAAGGAGAATACTTTTCTTATTATAAGACCAAAGAAGGAGGATAGAGTGGTACAAATACAAGACTGTCATAAAAGTTTATGGAAAGAAAATTGGAGTTTCCATTTAATACCCTCCCCCTCATTTTTTTCTGTAAACTGGAAAGTATATTCATTTGCTGAAAACTAGAATTCAGAATGGGAATGGGGTATGTCAGAGAATAATTGAGAAGGTTTAAAATAATGTTCACACATTTGGAGGACTGAATTGACCATAGGAACATAAGAAGAATTTTGAGCAATATAGAGATTCCAAATATAACAGGTAATTATTAATTTATAATGATTTATGGTATTATTAGTTTCCCCTATTAATCTTTTCAAAGAGTATTTGCATGCATACGTAGTGAAAGTGGATAGTTGAGTTCAACCAGGTTTGGAATTTTGTTAAATAAAATAAATACGTGTAAAGACAAAAGGGCAAGGAAGTTTAAAGTATAGCAAGATATGGTAGAAATTATAAAAGCTACATGGACTCTAAACTGGATTAAAGAGAGAGAGAAAGGAATAAAGATGACAAACTGAGAAACTGGAAGAAAGCAGAGCCTTAAATGGATGAGAGGTCCCAAAGGGAAAAGGGGTTAATGGAACCTGCACAGGCAACTTAGAATAGGGGGTTGTGGCTAAGGAGTGCAATGACCGAATCAGCCCTTTTGAAATCAGAGAAGTTTGTGTGTTTCTGGTTATTTCTAAGATGGCAGCTGAGGTGTGATAAGTGTTGAAATTCATGAGAGGTGACATAAAAGCATTGTGAAACAACAGGGTTTCTCCATGGGGATGTTGGAGTCATCCAGGACGGGCCAGGTTGCCAAGATATTTGCAAAAGGAGAGAGGAGTCTTGAAAACCGTGCATGTGCGACAATTTACAAAATGGTTGTTCTGAACCAGGTTCTTTGAAAAGTGCTGACTGTTTAGGAGTGAGTAAAAGTAAAACTTTCATATCCCTGGAGAGTGTGGATCAGAGCTACAAGTCACCTGGGGGCATCAAGTTAATGTATTGCCACATAGGCCCTGTTGCCCATAGAACCAAATCTATTTCTGCACATATCCAGACTGTCCCTAGGTCCACTTTATTTATTTATTTTATTTATTTATTTATGTATTTATTTTTTGAGACAGAGTCTCCCTCTGTCACCCAGGCTGGAGTACAATGGTGCAATCTCGGCTCACTGCAACCTCCACCTCCCAGGTTCAAGTGATTCTCCTGCCTCAGCCTCTCAAGTAGCTGGGATTACAGGAACATGCCACCACACCCAGCTAATTTTTGTATTTTTAGTAGAGATGGGGTTTCACCATGTTGGTCAGGCTGGTCTTGAACTCCTGACCTAGTGATCCACCCGCCTTGGCCTCCCAAAGTTCTGGGATTACAGGAGTGAGCCACCGTACCTGACTAGTCCACTTTATTGAGAAGAGCACTCCAATTTAGGAAACCATTTCTTTTCTATTTTACAGTGCTCATTGGAAGAAAAATGTGTCCCAGGATCAAATTATTTTTGGACAAACTACATACTTCATTTACTTTTTATAGGTCATCATATTACACAAAATTCTGAGATATCCTGCAGAAATTTTTTAAATCTCTAAATTATTTAATCATGAACCCATTTTTATATTACATCTATTGAAATGATTTAGCAAAATATTGCAACAGAATAACAATACAAGCTATAACTTACTAAGTATTCACCAAGGCTATATAGAGTATTTTACACACAATATTTTATCAAATCCACACAGTAATTTATTAAGTGGGGCCAGGCATAGTGGCTCATGCCTGTAGTCCTAGCTACTCATGAGGCTGAGGTGGGAGGATTGAGTCCAGGAGATTGAGGCTGCAGTGAGCCATGATTGCACCACTGCACTCCAGCCTGGGTAACAGAGTGAGACACTGTCAAAGAAAGAAGGAAAGGGAGGAAGAAGGAAGGAAGGAAGGAAGGAAGGAAGGAAGGAAGGAAGGAAGGAAGGGAAGGAAGGAGGGAGGGAGGGAGGGAAATGCATAGTTTTTTATTCAAAAATTATTGAGAATTTCAAGAGAGTAACTGCAGAGTATTAAACAGGGCCCTTTGGGAGCATGGAATTTTGCACAACTAAACAGATAGTATGCACATGAAGCCACCTTTGTCACTATTAACACTGCCTTCACATATGCTATGGTCACTATAAAAAGAAACTGGATGTCATTGTAGTGGATAACATTATCATTTAAACTATTGAGCAATCTCCCTAAATAGAATAGCTCACACACACTTCCAGTTTAAAAATTTTGCACCCACTGTTGTGAAGGCCAGAGCCTGCCTCTTAATCAGTATTTGTTTAAAACAATGAAATATTAATTTGAACTAATGTTCATTACCATCACCATTTTATGGTTCCAAAGTCATCATGAGCCTAAATGACTTACTGTTTTGGAGTCCAACTCACTATTCTGGATGCTGAAACATTTTTTTCCTTCAAAATCAATTGAAATTATTCTAATACTAAATGCTATAAATGATTAATAGCAAAATCAATTTGAAAGACACTGCATATAAAAGACTTTTTAGAACGTATAACTTTGAGAAGATAAATGGTCAGAGCAGCCACTTACTCAACAAATATTTGTTGAACATCTACATTTCTACAGAAAAATAGGATATCTATTATAATTTCAAAGGATGATTTGGCTGAAAAATCATTGGGATTAATTAAGCATCATTGTACTGAGTCCCATGAAGAATTCTGAATTAGTGAAGCAAATACAAATGATCATCAAAATTGAGTATAATCCTTGAAACTAAAATCTCTTTTGTCAAGGGCTACCTGCATTTAATGTGTTCATTGTTATGTAATCCTGTCATACGTTCTAATATTTTTTCTTTTTATGACAAAATTTATACATTTCCCTGAAAAATTTGTTGATTGAGTCATACTACTTTGAGTTATTTGCCTGTTCTAAACTTGCCTTGATTGACTTAAATTGGGTGTATATGACCATGGTAAATGAGCAGCACACAGTAAATTCTGAGCATACACAGGTTGACGGTCACAATCAAACAAAACTTATGCAAAATTAAATTGACATTTACTGGTTTGCATGATCATTATTATATTGTAGGGTAATTAAGTGTAAATATTAGGGAGTTGACCAAAAGGGCTGAAATTAGTATTACCTTTAAAAAATATAGTAGTACTATAATTAGCTCTGAGTCAGGATGTTTCGTGGAAAATAAGAAGCCTTCCTTTAGGGATCTACTGAACCTGGACCATTTTCTCCAGCTTTCTAAAATTAGCTTGGTTGCAGATGATAGGGGAAAAGAGCAGGTTTGTAGAGTGATATATAAGGTATGATAAGATATTTTCTTTGGGACCCCTCTTTCCCCCATTAAATTCATGCAGCTGGATCCAGAGGGCAAATACATTCAGGTAGCAGGTGTACTCTCCCAGAAAAATATGAACATGATATGTGCTTTCCTGTTTGTTCTGTCTGACAGATGTAACCAAGTGGTGGTACTGGGAAAGATACACAGCAGACACTGGGAACAGAACTAGAGAGACAGGATACAATTTTCATGACCAAAATATTGGACTAGCATAATGAAGAATAATCTTATAGATTAAGACAATGTTTGGCCACTGAGTCAAACTTGGCAAAGGTTAGGGACAAATAAGGAGTGTAGTGTATGATTTTCTGTCACTGTCAAAAACCTTGCAGACATGTAGTGTGTCTGTGTTGGCATGGTTAAAGTGCAGAATCAAAAGCCACATGACACTAAAAATACAGAAAATGGGGTAAGATGAGTGAATATTATAGTACTTACAAATGACAGGTCTTGGAAATAATTAAGTGTGAAAAGAAGGAGAGGGAAAAGATTCAACCAGGGTTCCAAGATGCAAAAAAAAGTGACAAAAAGAATGATGGTTTATAACTAGAAAGAAAAAACACAAGGGAAGATGATAAGTAAGTTCAGTTTGTCCATTTGTATTAGAGGTGACATCAGAGCACTCAAGGCAAATTTTCATTAACTCATGTGAGTAAATTTGGGTTGGAAAGAAGGCTCACAAATGGAGATACAGATCTGAGGACAATTTGCATAAAAATGATAGTTGGAAATCATGAAAATAGATGAAATGATAATAGAAAGAGAAGGCAGTAAGGATAAAAATTGCTAATCATCTACATGAAAGTGGGGGGAAAAAGCAATTGTGGATTGTGCTTCGAGAATCAGAACCCTAAAAATATATTGCTACAGACTACAAAGGGAAAGAATATTCAAATCTTAATCTCCTAACAGCCCAACTTCAAAATGTAAATGAATTCAAATTTTCTTGTTAAATAACAGGACCTCAATCACCATCCCACTTCATTGGTCAATACAATCTCTTTTGCAGGTGAAGGAGCTTATTTGTTTCCTCTGCAGTCATTGTGTTAAATAAGAGTTGCAAGTATTTCTGTATTTGACGAGCAAAGTGCTGACTTGATTTTCCTTTGATCAATATTAAAATTATTCTTTCTCTTTGTATTTTCTGTCACACAATTATATCTATAGTATCCCATAAAATATGGCTGTGTGGGAAACATTAATTGTACTATTATTTGATTCCCTTTCCTTTATGATTCTCTAGTGACTCTTCTTTGAAAGAACCTAGTAATACTGTGCATTTCGTTGATATGTTGCTTGTCTTGTGTTTTCCCTTGATGTCTCTGAAATTATAGCTCAAATGTTAATAGAAATCTCCGTATTTTAATAGGATTCTCTTGTCTACAAACTCAATATCAACTCAATTATATATTCTGAAAAGCTATTTACAGCTTTAAACCTAATGCAAATCAGGAAATTTAATTTAAGAACTGTGAGTTACTCAACAGTAATAAGAATTTCATAAATAGAAGATGACTTTTGTCTAATAGAGATAAATTACTCAACATTTTAACTCTATGCTAATTCTAATAACAGCATTATACCATGAAAATGAACTCAGAACTTAGGAACATTATCATTGGAGATATCAAGAAAATTGGTTGTTCACTTCTTAAACAGTTGAAATGCCTTTTATTATTGCCATATTCTATCTGACCAAAAAAACTCAACCATATTCCAGCATGAAGCACTTTAATGATGTTATATAAAAATTCAACCAATGAACAAGAGAGATTATTTCTAAATTTAATCAGTCTCCATTCTAGACCTATTCATAATAGTAGAAAATGAAACTTGATGATATCATAGAGGTGATTTCATTTTTATTATAAGAATGCCTTTTCTAATTGGAAAGAAAATATATATACCATGGAAAGACTGAGAAAGAGATATTTCCAATTCTGAGACTTTCTAGTAAATTTGAAAAGAAAGTAATGCATTGTTTTATTGAAAGCCCTACATATGTTTAAGGTGATTAATTTCTCTTCCAGTTCAGTTCTTTTTTCTGCTTGACCCTTTCTCTTGTGTGCCTGTATGAATTCACATGTGCATAAATGTGATATATTTGCTCGCTGACCTCATATTTGAGAGGCTGACCAGAGAAATGTGTGAGAAAAATCAGTTCCCCTCCTTTTGAAGTAATCAAGATCTCTATGTCTCTGGTAACTTTTGTTTCAATTGGATTTTTAATAAGTTTGGGTTTTTTAATTATTATTTTGATATTATTTGCTATATTGAATTATTTGGCTAGTAAGAATAAGAGGAGAAAAATATATAAGAATAAATACTGAAAATGAAAAGAAAGAAAAACAACTGTGAAAAACAGCTATTTATAGCAAGAGATCAGCATAAAATTTTTACTTCCTATCCATATCTTAAAAATATTCTCTCTCTCCTTGCTCCCTTCTTCTTCCTCTGTCCATCTCACACTCTCTCCCTCTCTCTATAAGGCTGGAAGAAAGAAAAGTATCCCTTGTCCCCTTCTATAAAGAACAATAAAAAAAATGACAATTTAAATAAAGTGTTTTAGAGTGCTAATTTCTTGGCCACGTTTTGATATATTAAGTAGTATAGAGTCTTCTTTGCTCAATCATCAATTTATTAACAGAGCAAAGCTCTTAAAAATTAATAAAAATATAGACCTGGAATCAGATACAGAAAAAATTTCTTTTTACCAAACATATTATAAAAATATGTTAAATACAATTATTAAGGACAACATTCATTTTGAGAAGGAAGTTGGAGACAATAAATGGACAGAAAACATGATCTGGTATTTTGCAAAAATATGTTTAAATAAAACAATATGCAGACAGATTATTCTTTCATGTGTAGAGAGCTGCCAAGGGAAGCACAACTTGTTTGCCTTTCTTTGAAACTCCAGCACAACAAGAAAAGGACAGTGGTGCTGGCAAAGGGATAGTGCTGAGGAACACTGAGATGTAGATCTCCAGTTGGGTCTCCCTTGAACTAACACATCTGTATGCAAAGCTGTTTCTAAGAGCATGTCACAAAAAAATAGACTGCATGCTGAAGCCAGAGCATTTCTCCTGCAGCACCAGGTAATACTAAACTGAGTGGGTTTTTCACTGCAACTCTGATCCTTGGCAGAAAAAACTCTAAGTCACAAAGATTAAGACCACCTATTCAGGCTGAGCATGGTGGCTAATGCCAGTAATCATAGCGATTTGAGAGGCCCACTCAGATGGATCACCTGAGGTCAGGAGTTCAAGATCAGCTTGGCAAACATGATGAAACTCCGTATCTACTAAAAATACAAAAAATTAGCTGGGTGTGGTGGGGGGCACCTGTAATCCTGGCTACTCGGGAGGCTGAAGCAGAAGAATCGCTTGAACCTAGGAGGTGAAGGTTGCAGTGAGCTGAGATCGTGCCATTGCACTCCAGCCTGGGCAACAAGAGCAAAACTCCACCTCATAAAAAAAATAAAAACCACCTATGACAGAAATTTTACAGATAATCCATACTCTGTGATTAGAAATTAAGTGTATAGCTATGAACAATTTATTATAATCTGAATTGGTTTTTTAGTAACTCACCTTTTTTAAGTTACTCCTTAAACAAATCTCTATAATGATGTTACAGTGGCTACAGGGGAACTCAATAATTGTGTCATCTTTCAGTACTAACATAGCTTCACAAAATATGTTAGAGATTAATGTTTTCACTTTATAGAAAAGTGCATTAAAGCCAAATGAAAGAAAGGTATTCTGTCACTATTATATAACTGAGGGCTGTCGAATCAGCCAAAATTTCATTCCTCTGTGATACTTTTAACTTAAATTTAAAATATTGACTTTCATGAAAGCCTAATACATTAATGAAGCAAACACATATTAAAAAATAAGCCACTCAAGGCAACTGTATTCCTCTGCTTTCATGCTGCTGATAAAAACTTACCCGAGACTGGGCAATTTACAAAAGAAAGAGGTTTATTGGACGCACAGTTCTACATGTCTGGAGAGGACTCACAATCATGGTGGAAGGTGAAAGGCACAACTCACATAGTAGCAGAAAAGAGAAGGGTTACCATGGTCTTGGGAAACTCCACCCCTGTGACTTTGCAGGGAACAGCTTCCCTCCCAGCCTCTTTCACAGGCTGGCATGGAGTGTCTACGGGTTTTCCAGCAGCATGGTGCAAGTTGTCAGAGGATCTACCATTCTAAATTCTGGAGGATGGTGGCCCTCTTCTCACAGCTCCATTAGCTGATGCCCCAGTAGGAACACTGTGTGGGGGCTCAGGCCCCACATTTACCTTCTGCACTGCCCTAGCAGAGGTTCTCCATGAGGGCCCCATCCCTGGAATAAACTTCTGCGTTGACATCCAGGCATTTCCATATATCCTCGGAAATCCATGTGGAGGTTCCCAAACCCCAATTCTTGACTTCTGTGCACCCACAGACTCAACATCATGTGGAAGCTGTCAAGCCTTGGTGTCTGCACCTTCTGAAGCAACAGCTGGAGCTGTACCTTTGCCCCTTTTAGTCACAGCTGGAGCAGCTGGGATGCAGGGCACCAAGTCCCTAGGCTTGCATACAGCATGGAGACCCTAGGCCCAGCCCACAAAACCATTTTCTCCTAGGTGTTCAGGCCTGTGATGGGAAGGGCTGCCATGAAGGTCTCTGACATGCCTTGGAAACATTTTCTCCATTGTTTGGGGATTAACATTTGGCTCCTCATTACTTATGCAAATTTCTGCAACTGGCTTGAATTTCTCCTCAGAAAATGGGTTTTTATTTTCTATCACATTGTCAGGCTGCAGATTTTCCAAACTTTTATGCTATGTTTCCCTTATAAAACTGAATGCCTTTAACAGCACCCAAGTCACCTCTTGAATGGTTTGCTGCCTAGAAATATCTTCTGCTGGATACCCTAAATCATCTCTCTCAAGTACAAAGTTCTACAGATCTCTAGGACAGGGGCACAATTCCTCTAGTCTCTTTGCTAAAACAGTGAGTCACCTTTGCTCCAGTTCCCAACAAGCTCCTCATCTTCATCTGAGACTACCTCAGTCTGGATTTCATTGTCCATATCATTATCAGCATTTTGGTAAAAGCCATTCAACAAGTCTCTAGGAAGTTCCAAACTTTCCCACATTTTCCTGTCTTCTTCTGAGCCCTCCAAACTGTTACAGCCTCTGCCTGTTACCCAGTTCCAAAGTTGCTTTCACATTTTCGGGTATGTTTTCAGTAGCGCTCCACTCTACTGGTACCAATTTACTTTACTGCTCAGTTTTCACACAGATGATAAAGACATACCCAGGTTTGGGCAATTTACAAAAGAAAGAGGTTTATCAGACTCACAGTTCTACGTGGCTGGGGAGGTCTCACAATCATGATGGAAGGTGAACGGCACGTCTCACATGGTGGCAGACAAGAGAAGAGAGCTTGTGCAGGAAAACTCTCCCTTATAATAGCCATCAGATATCAGGAGACTTAATATCATGAGAATAGCACAGGAAAGACCTGTCCCCATGATTCACTTACTTGTGCAGGAAAACTCCCCCTTATAATAACCATCAAATATCAAGAGACTTACTCAATATCATGAGAACAGCATAGGAAAGACCTGCCCTCATGATTCAATAACCTCCCACTGGGTCCCTCCCACAACACATGGGAATTTAAGATGAGATCTGAGTGGAGACACAGCCAAACTATATCAGCAACCAATGTCATTTCAAGTAAATAATATACCCAAATCAGCTGTTTAACAAACATCAAGGGGCAGATGGGGGCTTTACTGTTGTCAATAGCACATGCCTCTTTTTAGGTTACAGTCACGATAACTTAGCTATACACAATAGAGTTGCATATAAATGCCTGAAAATAACAGATGGTATTTTAAACAAACATATTTCCCACTGTATCATCAGCACAAAGTTAGATACAGATTGCCAGTTTTCACTCTGATGCAGCATCAGTGAACTCATCAATGGCACATCTTTATTAAACTGAGTATTAATTATAACTCTACTATGTCTTCAGAGTGTAATGTCAGAGGTAAAAATGTTGCTGCTTTTTAAAAAATATTAATAAGCCAATTATTTTTCTTCACTTCATCAAATTTTAACTCTAAGTTCTGTTTTGACTAATGTAGCAATTAAATTTGTTCAAATTGTAATCTAGATACACAGGCATATTAGCATAAATGAGCTTCTCTTCACATATCCTGACAGAGAAAAGTAATAACCAAATGGAAGAGAGTGAAATATAACTCAGAATTCTCTGGAGACCTCTGTCTTATTCTGCTGATTGGGAAGTTTCTAGCTCTTAAATTATATGGGAATTAAATAGTATACCCTTAAGCCTAGCCCACAGGATTTACAAGCTCTAAATTCCAGTATTTATTTTATGTATTCCCTATGATAAAAGTATCAATAAACTACAGATTTTTTTTCCTGAAAACCATTTTTTAATTTAAAAACAAAGATTTAGCATTTCTAATGCTTAGTGGTAAGATTAGGAAATGTTACACAAACCATTACTTGTGAGATGTGACTTGGCAACACATGTATCCAAGGGCCTAATTTTCAACTCCAAACTATTAGATGAGTACAGTAAGTGAAAAAAAAAATTGCTACAGCATTTGCCTTGCAAGTAAATGCGGAATTAATGTTTGAGTAGTAAGACATATTTGTGAAAAAGTAGTATATAAAATTACTAAATATTAAGATAAATAATTTTATATTATTTATAATTATATTAATATGAAATAAAAGCATACAAAATATCAACATAATTTTAAGTATAGACCCAAATACACACTAATGAACTTATAGATTTTTTAATTCCCTGAGAATGTTTGAGTATATTAATTATAATATTAACTATTCAGAATTTCAATTAATTAAATATATGGTTATTCACAATCTACTATATCCTATGACAAAGTATATAGCAATAAAAACAAGATAAAAATTCTTACTTTTCTATGTCTTAAAGTTCTTCATAATATTTAAATGTTGAAAAAATTACTTTATAATTTAATAATATTGAAAATGTTTTAAAATTATTTTTAATATACTTTGTGTTTTCATATTTAAGAGAATTTTATATTTTTTAATTTTATATTTTTTGATATATTTTAGATTTAAGAGAATTTTGTGACTGGCTAGCATAAAGTCCTCAAAGTTTATACATGCTGTAGCATACATCAAAATTTCCTTCCTATTGAATAAAGGCTGAATAAAATTGTATGCATATACCATATTTTACGTATCCATTCATCTGTCCATGGGTATTTGGATTACTTCCACATTTTAACTACTATGAATAATGCTCCTATGTACATGAGTGCTATGGTCTGAATGTTTGCACCCTCTGAAAATTTGTATACGCAAACCTAATCAACAATGTGATGGCATTAGAAGGTGGAGTTTCCAGGAGGTGATTAGGTCATGATGGTAAAGACCTCTCAGATAGATTAGAGCCCTTTGTGAAAGAGGTCTAGAGAACTGATTCACTCCTTCCGCCATGTAAGGACACAGTGAGAAAGCACTGCCTATGAAACAGAAAGTAAACCCTCACGTGACACTGAAAGGATGAGTGCCTTGATCTTAGACTTCTCAGGTCTCAAAATTGTGAAAAATAAATTTCTGTTGTTTATAAGCTACCCAGTTGATGGTATTTTTTTATAACAGCCTAAAGGGACTCAGACAATAAGCGTACAAATCTCTTTGAGACTGTGATTTTCATTCTTGGGGGTATATACACAGAAGTAGAATTGCTGGATCATATGAAATTCTATTTTGTATTTTTTTAGGAACCACCATACTTCCACAGCACCTCTATCATATTACATTTCCACTAACAGGACACAAGTGTTCCAATTTCTCCACATCCTCACCAACACTTGTTATTTTAAGTATGTGTGTGTTTTTATAATAGTCATCCTAATCGCTGTGAAATGATATCTCATTGTGGTGTTGATTTCATTTCCCTAATCATCAGTGATGCTGAGCATCTTTTCATGTGCTTATTGCCCATTCATATATTTTCTTTGTAGAAATGTCTTTTCAAGTCCTTTGCCTACTTTTGAATTGAGTTATTTGGTTTTGTGTTGTTTTTTTTGGCTATTGAGTTGTAGGAGTTCTATATATATTCTGAATATTAACCCCCTGTCAAATATGTGATCTATAAATATTTTCTCCCATTCCATAAGTTGTCCTCTCACGCTATTGATAGTCTCCTTTCATGAACAAAAGTTTTAATTTTTATAAAGTCTATTTTTTATATTTTTTCTTTTGTTGCCTGTGCTTCTAATGTCTTATCCAAAAAACTCATTGCCAAATGCAATGTCATGAAACATTTGTCCTATGTTTTCTCCTAAAGTTTTATAGTGTGATGTCTCCTACATTTAGAATTTTTATCCATTTTGAATTACTTTTTATATCATGTTAAGTGTCCAATGCCATTCTTTTGCATGAAGATATTCCATTTTCACAGCACCATTTGTTGAAAACACTATATTATCCCTAGGATAACCTTGATATCTAGTTCAAAAATCATTTTATAATATATGTAAAGGTTTTTTTCTGGACTCTGTGTTCTATATTACCTTGAGCTATATGTCTGTAATTATACTAACACTAGTCTCTTTTGTTACTATAGCTTCGTAGTAAGTTTTGAAGCCAGGAACTATAGTTCTCCAACTTTGTTCTTCTTTTTAAGATAATTATGGCTATTAAGGATCTTTTAAAATTCTGTATAAATTTTAAGATGGATTTTTCTATTTCTGCAAACATGTAATTTTGATAAGAATTACAGTGAATCTGTAGATTGTTTTGTGGAGTATTGGCATCTTAAGTCTTCAATCCATGATTATGGAATATTTTTCTATTTATTTGTGTATTCTTTAATTTGTTTCAGCAATGTTTTATTATTTTTATGGTACAAATCTTCCATCACCCTGGTTAATTTGTTTCAGCAATGTTTTATCATTTTTATTGCACAAATCTTTCATTTCCCTGGTTAAGTGAATTCCTACAACTTTCATTGTTTTTGATGCTATTGTAAATGGAATTGTTTTCTTAATTTTTTTCATATTGTACATTGCTAATGTATAGAAATGCAAGTGATTTTTGTACATTGACTTTGTAACCTGCTACTTCATTAAATTTGTTTATTTGTTGTAATAGGTTCCTGTGGAATTTTTAGGGTTTTTTAAATATAAGATAATATCATTCTCAAACAGAGATAATTTTACTTCTTCCTTTTCAGTGTGAATGTCCTTTATTTCTTTTTCTTGCCTGATTTATCTGGCTAGGACTTCTGGTACTATCTGGAAGAGAAGTGCCAAGAGTAGGCACCTTTGCCTTGTTCCTGCTCTTGAAGAAAACACTTTCATTCTTTAATCACTGAGTATGATTTTGACTGTGGGTTTTTTTATATGGCCTTTATTGTTTTGAGGTAAATTTGTTCTATACCTATTCATTGAATTTTTTTATCATGAAAGACTGTTGAACTTTATCAAATGTTTCTCTGCATCAATTAAAATGATCCTATTGTCCCCCACCTTCATTCTGTTAATGTGTTGCGTTACTTTGATTTATTTTTGCATATGAAATTATTCTTGCATTTCAGGAATAAATCCCTATATATGATATATAATTGATATGGTTTGGCTGTGTCCCCACCCAAATCTCATCTTGAATTCCCACGTGCTGTGGGCAGAACACAGTGGGAGTTTATTGAATCATGGTGGCAGGTCTTTCTCATGCTGTTCTCATGATAGTGAATAAGTCTCACGAGATCTGATGGCTTTATAAGGCAGACTTTTCCTGCACAAGCTCTATTTTTGCCTGTTGCCATCCATGTAAGATGTGACTTGCTCCTCCTTGCTTTCTCCATGATTGGGAGGCCTCCCCAGCCATGTGGAACTGTAAGTCCCATTAAACCTCTTCCTTTTGTAAATTGCCTGGTTTCAAGTATGTCTTTATTAGCATCATGAAAACAGACAAATACAGTAAATCAGTACCAGTAGAGTGGGGCACTGTTGAAAAGATACCCAAAAATGTGAAAGTGACTTTGGAACAGGGTAACAGGCAGAGATTGGAACAGTTTGTAGGGTTCTGAAGAAGACAAAAAAATGTGGGAAAGTTTGGAACTCTTAGAGACTTGTTGACTGGCTTTGCCCAAAATACTGATAGCAATATGGACAATAAAGTCCAGGCCAAGGTGGTCTCAGATGGAGATCAGGAAATTGTTGGGAACTGAAGCTAAGATGACTCTTGTTATGCTTTAGCAAAGAGACTGGTGGAATTGTGGCCCTGCCTAGAGATTTGTGGAACTTTGAACTTGAAAGAGGTGATTTAAGGTATCTGGCAGAAGATATTTCTAAGCAGCAAAGCATTCGAGAGATGACTTGAGTGCTGTTAAAGGCATTCATTTTTATAAGCGAAGCAGAGCATAAAAGTTTGGAAAATTTGCAGCCTGACAATGTGATAGAAAAGAAAATTCCATTTTCTGAGCAGAAATCCAAGCTGGCTGTAGAAATTTGCAAAAGTAATAAGGAGCTGAATGTTAATCCTCAAGACAACGGGGAAAATATTTCCAGGGCATGTCAGATGTCTTCATGGCAGCCCTTCCCATTACAGAACCAGATACCTAGGAGGAAAAAGTGGTTTCATGGGCCAAGCCCAGTTCTCGTGCTGTGTGCAGCCTAGGGATGTGATGCCCAGTATCCCATTTGCTCCAGCAGTGGCTGAAAGGGGGCAATGTAGAGCAAAGGTCATGGCTTCAGAGGGTGCCAGCCTCAAGCCTTGACAGCTTCAATGTGGTGTTGAGTCTGCCAGTATACAGAAGTCAAGAATTTGAGTTTGGGATCCTCTGCCTAGATTTCAGAGGTTGCACGGAAACACTTGGAAGTCAAGGCAGAAGTTTGCTGCAGGGATGGGGCTCTCATGGAGAACCTATTCTAGGGCAGTGCAGAAGGGAAATGTAGGGACCGAGACCCCACCCAGAGTCCCTACTGGGGCACCACCTAGTGGAGCTGTGAGAAGAGGGCCACCCATCCTCCAGATCCCAGAATGGTAGATCCACGGACAACTTGCAACACTCACCTGGAAAAGCTGCAGACACTCCATGCCAGCCTATGAAAGCAGCCAGGAGAGAGGCTGTACCCTGCAAAACCACAGGGGCGGAGCTTCCCAATACCATGGCAGCCCACCCCTTGTATCAGCGTGACCTGGATGTGAGACACAGAGTGAAAGGAAGTCATTTTGGAGATTTAAGATTTGACTGCCTCGCTGGATTTCGGACTTGTGTGGGGCCTGTACCCCCTTTGTTTTGGCCAATTTCTCCTATGGCCTTATTTACCCAATGCCTGTACCCCCATTGTATTTAGGAAGTAACTAACGTGCTTTTGATTTTACAGGCTCATAGGCAGAAGGGACTTGCCTTGTCACAGATGAGACGTTAGACTGTGGTCTATTGAGTTAATACTGAAATGAGTTAAGACTTCGGGGGACTGTTGGGAAGGCAAAATTGGTTTTGAAATGTGAGGACATGAGATTTGGGAGGGGCCAGGGACAGAATGCTGTGGTTTGGCTGTGTCCCCAACCAAATCTCATCTTGTATCCCCACTTGTTGTGGGAGGAACCCATTGGGAGGTAATTGAATTATGGGGGCAATTCTCTCCTGTGCTGTTTTCATGCTAGTAAGTCTCATAAGATCTGATGGTTATTATTAGGGGGAGTTCCCCTGCACAAGCTTTTTGTCTGCTCTCATCCATGTGAGATGTAACTTGCTCCTCCTCTCCTTCTGCCATGATTGTGAGGCCTCCCCAGCCATGTGGAACTGTAAGTCCCATTAAACCTCTGTGTTTTGTATATTGCCCAGTCTTGAATATGTCTTTATTAGCAGCATGAAAACAGACAAATATAATAATGCTATTAATATGTTCTTGAATTTGGTTTACTAGTATTTTGTAAAGGAGTTTTACATCAATGTTCATAAGGAATGTTGACCTATAATTTTCTTTTCTTTTAATATGTTTGTCTGGCTTTGATTTCAGGACAAGGCTGGTTCATAGATTTAGCAAGTTTTTCCTTCTCCTTAATTGTTTGGAATAATTTGAAAGGTTTGATGTTAGTTGTGTTTTAACTGTTTGGTAGAATTCAGCAGTGAAGTCATCAAATCAAGGGCATTCATTTGTTGATTTTTTATACCTGATTAAATCACCTTATTAGTTATGAGTTTTATATTTCTTCATGATTCAGTTGTGGTAAGTTTTGTGTTTCTAGGAATTTGTTCATTTCATCTCGGCTATACAATATTTTTTGCCATTAATTGTTCTAAGTACTCTTTTATTCTCCTTTTGATTTCTGCAGAATTGAAAATAATGTTTCAATTTCATTTCTGATTTTAGTAAATTGAGTCTTCTCAATCTGGCTAAAGGTTTGTCTACTCTGTTGACATTATCTGAGAACCAGCATTTGGTTTCGTTGCTTTTCTCCATTTTTCAATACTTTCTTTCATTTCTCTCTGATTTAATTATTTTCTTATTTCTTCTAGCTTTGTGTTTAAGTTGTTCTTTTTTTCTGGTTCTTTAATTTGCAAAGTCAGGTTGTAGATTTGAGATCTTTCTTATTTTTTAGTGTAAGCACATATAGCAATAAATTTTTTCCTTTGCACTGCTTTTGCTGCATCCTGTAAGTTTTAACATGCTATGTTTTTGTTTTCAGTTATAACTAATCACTTTCTAATTTCCCTTGTGATGTCTTCTTTGTTCATTAGCTGAATGTGTTATTTTCACAAATTTGTAAGTTTTCCTGTTTTGTTTCTATTATTGGTTTCTAACATTATCCCACTGTGGCCAGAGAATATACTTTGTGTAACATCTATCTTTTAAAATATATTGAGACTTAATTTGTGGCTTAGCATATAATTTATATTGGAAAATGCCCCATGTTTACTGGAAAAGTATGTATTTTGTTGTTGGTAGAGTGTTCTGTGTGTGTATGTTAGATCTAGCTAGTTTGTTGTATTTATTTATTTTTATTTTTTATTTTTGTAGGTACATGGTACGTGTATATATTTGTGAGGTACATGACATTTTCATTATGTTATGTACATCCTGTTTTCTTACTAATCTGTCTGGTTATCTATATTAAGAGTGAACTATTAAAGTCTCAAGCTATTATTATTGAACTGAGTATTTCTCCTTTCAAGTCTATCAATTTTTGCTTCATATTTTGATGGTACGTTATTATGTGTATAAATGTTTATAAATAGTATCTCTTCTTGCTGTATTAAAACTTTGCTTAAAATGTGATGTCTTTCTTTGTCTTTTGTAAACTTTTATGATTTCAAATATATTTATCTCATATTATTAAAACCACTCCTGCTCTTTTTGGGTTACTACTTGCATGGAATTTTCTTTTCTTTTTTTTTTATTATTATACATTAAGTTCTGGGGTACATGGGCAGAAAGTGCAGTTTTGTTACATAGGAAATTACATGCCATGGTGGTTTGCTGCACCCATCAACCCGTCACCTACATTACATATTTCTCCTAATATTATCCCTCCCCTCGCCCCCTATACCCCAACACACCCTGGTGTGTGATGTTCTCCTCCCTATGTCCATGTGTTCTCATTGTTCAGCACCCACTTATGAGTGAGAACATGCGGTGTTTGGTTTGCTGTTCTTGTGATAGTTTGCTGAGAATGATGGTTTCTGACTTCATCCATGTCCCTGCAAAGTACATGAACTCATCCTTTTTTATGGCTGCATAGTGGAATTTTATTTTCTATCCTCTCATTTTTAAAATTTATATATCTATTTGTATCTAAAGTGAGTCTCTTGTAGATAGCATACAGTTATGTCATGTTTGTTTAATCCATTCTGCCTATCTTTATCTTTTGATTAGAGTTTAGTCCATTTACATTCAAAGTAATTACTGATAGGGAGAAACTTATTTTTGTATTTTGCTATTTATTTTCTCCATACTATATGGCGTTATTTGTTCCTCATTTCTTGCATTGCTATATTTTCAGTTTAATTAATTTTTTTGCAGTGAAATATTCTCATTTTCCTTTTCATTTTTTTCATGTGCATTCTGTAACTATTTTCTTGGTTGTTACAATGGGTATTACATTTAACATTATTAAGTTATAATATTTTGTTTTTAATTCATACCAGTTCTCCTTCAATGACAAATAAAATAAAAACCCTGGTCCCTTTCAACTCCTTTCTCATTCCTTTCAACTATTAATTTCACAAAATTATATATTTGTATGTTGTGTGTCCCAAAACATAAACTAATAGTTGGCTTTAATGCATGCATCTCTTAAATAATGTAGAAAACAAAATGTAGAGTTATAAATTGAAGTTACAACCCACTAGCTTTTAGACTAATAATTGCTTAGTAATGTACTAGTCTTTTAAATCATATAAAAAACAAAAAGTTAGGTTACAAAGCATTGTGATGATAATTTTAGCTTTTATTATTTCCCATGTCTTTACCTTTATTAATATTTTTATTTCTTCAGTTGCTGGGTAAGGTACTTTTGTTGAACATGTCAGCCTACTGACTTCTGGCCTTCAAAGTTTTCAATGAAATATTTGCTAATAATATTACAAATTATTCTTAACTTATGATGGGATTACATCCGGTTAACCCATTATAAATCAAAAGTATTGTAAGTGAAAACTGCAATGTAAGGGAAAAACTGCAACCCTAACTGTTTATTATGGTTACTAATACCCTAATAAACCATTAAAAAGCCAAAAAATTATAAGTCAAACCATCATAAGTTCAGATGCTCCTTAACTTATGATGAGGTTACAGCTCAATAAACCTACTGTCAATGTGAAAAATTACCAAGGAAAACCATTGTTAATTAGTTGCAGTAAGGACCCCTTGAATGTGATGAATCACTTCTCTTTTTTATTTTCTTTGCTTTTAAGATTCTCTCTTTGCCTTGGATTTCAAAAGTTTAATTATAATGTTCTCTGGGCTGGTCTGCTTAAGTTTATTCTGCTTGAGGTTTGTTGAGTTTCCTGGTTGTTTATATTTATGTCTTTCATTAAACTTAGGAAGTTTTATTGCCATTATTTCCTCAAATAAGCCCTTTACCCTTTTCTTTCTCTTCTCATTCTGAGACTGCCATACTTGTCATGTTGGTCCACTTGATTAAGTCCCACAGGTTCATTAGACTGTTTACCTTTCTTCAATCTTTCTCCTTTTAATGCAAAAATTTCAATTGTTATATCTTCAAGTTTACTGATTTTTTTTTGCCTTGTTAAATCTGCATTTCAATTTCTTTAGTAATTTTTTATTTCAATTATTGTATCTTCAGCTCTAGAATTTTTGTTTTAGGTTTTCTTTCTTATTGATTGATTGATCAATTTTTGAGACAGGCTCTGGCTCCGTCACCCAGGCTGGAATGCAATGGCATAATCGTGGCTTACTGCAAGGTCTGCCTCCCATGCTGAAACCGTCCTCCCACCTCAGCCTGCCAAGTAGCTGGGAGTACAGGTGCCCCCCACCAGACCTGGCTAATATTTTTCTATTTGTGGTAAAGATAAAAATTATCATGTTGCCTGGGCTTGTCTCGAACTCCTGAGCTCAAGCAATCCTCCCGCCTGAGCCTCCCAAAGTGTTGGGATTACAGGCGTGATCTGCCATGCCCAGCCTGTCTTTCTTTTCATTCGTATTTCCATTTTGTTCATACATTATTTTCTTGACTTTCTCCATGTTTTCATTTAGTTATTTGAGCGTCTTGAAGACAGTTTTTTTTAAAGTCTTCGTCTAGTAGGTGAACTCTCTGGTCTTTCTAAGTAACAGTTTCCTTTGGTTTATTTTTATTTCCTTGAGTAGATGATACTTTTCTGTTTCTTTGTATGCCCTAAAAGTTTTTTTCCTCAGTACTGGAAATTTAAATGTAATAACGTGGTAACTCTGGAAATTAGATGCTCCCCTTTCCCTATGGTTTTGGTTCGGTTTGGCTTTCATTGTTGTAGGCTTTCTCTATGCCAAAGGCACTTCTGAGGTGTAAATTTAGGGTCCTCTCAGATTTTTTTATGCGCCTGTTTCTTTCCCTGGGTATACACAGTGGCTTTCTAACTTCCCCTGTAAATGCAGTGGCTTTTAAATATCATAGTCTTTAATGTTTAGCTCACAAATGGGGCAAAACAGAGAGAGAGAGAGAGAAGACGGTTAAAAAAAAGGCACTAGCCATTTAAATCCTATGGAAGCTGCTTTATTAGATCCCCTGGAAGCTGCTTTAGCGAGAGGGCGTGCGAGTTGCAACAGTGTGTGTGTCAGGGGCGGGGGCATGCAACAATGGCTACCTGCCTCTGTTTATGCACCTCCATAATAAGAAGCAGCAATCAGTGATTAGAGTACAGATCCCAGATATTTGGAGGATAGAGTCTTTATTGCCTACTCTAGCTTCCATAAGCTATGTACAAGCTACTTCTGCAATTCCTCTGCCTACCATGGGGCTGAGGATAGAGGATAGATAGCTTCTATTGAGCCAAGAGCTGAAATTAACTGCAATTTATTATTCAAATCTTCTCTTGGAAGTTACAACTTTCAATAGATTTTAGAGTTTCAAAATAATTACATCAGACAGATTTTGCTAATACAATTGTTTTTCTAAATAGAGAGACAGGCTCCTGAGGCTTTCTACTCAGCCATCTTCCCAGAATTCTATAAGGAAGATATATTTATGTAATGTAAATTAAAATGTCTATATAAAAATGTCTACTATTGGTTATTTTTAAACTAATGTTTTAGTATTCTTGATGCTTATCCCTAAAGTTATAAGGTCAAATATTTCACTGTCAATTATGGTGCTTTTTTAAATTAAAGCCATTTTCTACACGTTCAATTAGAATACATTATTCCCTCAGGTTACTTCTATATACCCTTTATGTTTATTTCTGCTATTTCATATAACATCGTATAACTGACAGCAAGAGCTTTGTCTTATTTGTACCTAGACTAGTTTCACGTATAAACATAAAAGTTTACCTATAGTCTGCCTATAGACTGAAAATAGGACATAACTATTCAAGGAATTCGTAACTAAGTGGACAAATTACTATTATAAGAGTAAGTGATACATTATTAAAAATCAAAAAAATAGCATGGTAGAAATATGGACTAAGAGCTACATATGTCAAGCACAAGACCAACTCTGTTGTAGTAATATTTTCTTCACTTTTCAGATTTGAAAACTAGAATATAGACCAGTGGTTTTTGGTCTTTGAAAATGTTCGTATTGCTATATATATATATCCAAATAAAAGCAGCCATAAAATAAAACTGAGATTTCAACCTAAAGTTTTTAATTTAGTTCTTTCATGCTGGAACTGAAAAACTTAACATTCTATTATTATGCCATGCTCTTCTTTTGTTCTACCTTACCCTGTTTATTTAATATTTCAGTAAATTTATGTTCATTATTTGAAACCAAACATTATCACCTCCTGTACCAAACATTATCATTGTAAAACCTATAGTCTTTCATAGTGCTTCTTTAACATATGTCTGTCATAACAGTTACCAAATCATATTGAATTTGGTTGTATCTCTTACTTTTCACATTGTTAACTTTTTCTAAAGCAACAAATATGCCTGACTTACTAAGTTTCTGGCACTCAGCCCAATCCCTGACTCTTGACAAATTCCCAATAAAAGATGATACAGAGGGCAGCAGTTAGAACTAGGATGGGAAACATTTTCTCAGTAGTGAAGTATATTCCATAGCTTGGAATTACAAATAAAAGAGTACAGTGTTTAAGGACAGTGATGCCAGTCTGGCTGGAATAAACAATTTAGGAAAACAACATATGGTCTTATGTAATATTTAATTCAACTAGCAGAATTGAGTAATACAGAAAGCTCTAGTGAGTGTCAGAAAAATTATAATTTAAGATTTCAATCAGTTCAAACCACTATATTTAAAGTACTGCCAGAAGGAAAAACAGTATGTATCATGTGTAGATGCAGACATCAGTTTTTATGGGTGAAATTATGAGTAAACTGATTTCAACAAATTCTGGGTCAGTACATTCTAACAGTTAGCACAAAATCGACCACTATATCATTTAGCTTCTTGTCACTTTGTCATGCCCAACAATAGATTTTTTATAATACTTAATACAATGTAAATGTTATGCAAATAATTGTTATGCTGTATTGGTTCTTTGTTTGTATGATTTTTTATTGTTATTTGTTATTTTTTGTATTAACTTTCAAATATTTTCAATCCATAGTTGGTTAAATCTGCAGATGTAGAACCCAAAGATACAAAGGGCTAACTGTAGTCCTAAATTAGACTCAGAAATGTTCTTATAAATCCAGAAATTATATTTTAAATATTATTTTTAGTTTTATTAATTAATACTTTTATATGTTTATACAATACAATGTGATGTGTTGATATATGTTTACAATGTGGAATGATTAAGTCAGGTTAATTCACAAATCCATCGCCTCATATACTTACCATTTTTTTGTAGGAAAAACATTTAAAATTTACTCTCTTGACAATTTTGAAATATACAATGCATTTTTTATTATATCGACCATTCTGTGAAACAGATAAATAAAGCTTTCTCCTCCTGTCTAACTGAAATATGTACCCTTTGATCAATATCTCTCTTCTCCCTAACCACACACCTCTCCCAGGCTTTGGTAACCAACTCCCTACTTCTGTGAGTTCAACTTTTTTAGACTTGGTATATAGTTGAGATTATGAAGCATTTGTCTTTCTGTGCCTAGCTTATTTCACTTAGCATAACATTCTCCAGGTTCATTCATGTTGTCTCAAATGGCAGGATTCCTTCCCCTCTTTGTAAGGCTGACTAGAATTCCACTGTGTATGTATACCACATTTTCTTTATCCATTCAACTGATGATGGACACCTAGGTTGCTTCCATGTCTTAGCTATTGTGAATAATGCTGCAAAGAAAATGAGCGTGCAGATATCTCTTTTGCCTACAGTTTTCAGTACTTTTGGATATATACTCAGTAGTAGTATTACTGAATCATACAGTAATTCTATTTTTAGTTTTCTGAGGAAACTTCATACTGTTTAACAAAATAACTGTATTAATTTGCATTTCTACCAACAGTGTGCAAGGGTTTCTTTTTCATCACTCAACCAAAACTTGTTAACTTTTATCCTTTTGATAATTGCCATTCTAACACCATGAGGTAATATCTTATTGTGATTTTAATTTTTTATTTCCCTGATGATTAGTGATGATGACCTTTTTTTCCATATACCTTGTATGTCTTTGAGAAGTATCTAGATCCTTTGCACATTTTTTGATTAGGTTGTTTGTTTCAAGCTATTTAGTTGTTTGAATTACTTATACATTTTGGATATTAACCCCTTAATATCTAAATACCATGGTTATGGTTGCAAATATTTTCTCACAATCCATGGGTTGTCTCTTCACTCAATTAATTGTTTCCTTTCCTATACAAAAGCTTTTTGAGTTCGATGCATTCTACTTGTTTATTTTTGCTTTTGTTGCCTGTGCTTTTGAAGTCATAGCCAAGAAATCTTTGTCTAGAACAAAGTTGTGGAGCATTTCTCCTATGTTTTATTCCAGTAATTTTACAGCTCCAGTTCTAACATTAAAGTCTTTAATCCAGGTTAAGTTGATTTTTGTATATGGTATAAGATACATTTCCAGTTTTATTCTTGTGGATGTTCAGTTTTCCCAACACAATTTATTAAAGGGATTCCTCTTTTCCCATTGAACGTTCTTGGCATCTTTGTCAAAAATTAATTGATCATAAATGCACAGGCTTAACTGACCACAAATGCAGTACCATGCTGCTGTAATTACTATAGCTTTGTGGGAGATTCTGAAATTAGATAGTGTGTTGTCTCCAGCTTTGTTCTTTTTGATCATGATTGCTTTGGCTATTTGAGATGTTTTGTAGATACACATAAAATTTAGAATTTTTTTTCTATTTCCATTTAAAATGACATTGGAATTTTGACAGATTGTGCTGAATATGTGATCTACATATTTGAGTAGTATGGTCATTTTAAAAAATAAATTCTTACAACCTATGAAAATAGGATGCTTTTCCATCTATTGTTACACATACAATTTCTTTCATCAATATTATAGTTTTCAGTATACAGACCATTTCCCTACTTGGTTAAATATAATCCTAAGTATTTTTTATGTGATTATGAATAAAATTGACTTAATTTCTTTTCAGGTAGTTTGCTCTTAGTTTAAAAAAATACTACTAATTTTCATGTTGATGTACTCTGAACACTTATCGATTTAACAATTTTAATAGTTGTTGGTGGAGTATTTAGTATATACATACATACATACACATATATATATAAAAAAAATGTCATCAGCAAAAAGATAATTCTACTTTTTTCTTTTTATTTGGATGTTATTATTATTATTAATTTGTCCAATTGCTTTGGCTAGAACTTTTAGTACTATGCTGAATAGAAGTGATGAGAGTGAGCATCTTTAGCTTGTTGCTACCTTTAGAATAGGAGATTTTGACTTTTCAGCACTGAGCATGATGTTACCTGTGGGCTTATCATATATGGCATTAGTGTATTGAGGTACAATCTTTCTATGCCCAATATTTTGAGAGTTTTTTTAAATGAAAAAATGTTGAATTTTGTCAAATGCTTTTTCTCCATTTGTATGTCCATATCTCTCCAAAGGCTTGGAAAGCTTTTAGACAGTATTTCTTTAAATAGACTTTCTTTTCCTTTGTCTTCACTTCTCTTTTGGGTACTCCAATAATTTGTATACTTCTAGGTTTGATGGTGTCTCACATATCCCTTCTGGTTTCTTCAATCTTTTTCAATTTTTTTTGTCTTTTTTTTTCTCTAATTGGCTAATTTAAAATGACTTGTCTTCAAGCTTACTAATTCTGTCTTCTGTCTAATCAAGTCTGTTGTTGAAATTCTCTATTGATTTTTTTCAGTTCTGTCATTGTATTCTTCAGCTCCAAGATGTCTGTTAGGTTCTTTTTCATGTTTTCTATTTCTTTAGATAACTTTTTATTTTATTTATATGTGGTTTTCCTAATTTCATGTAGATGTCTATCTGTATGCTCTTGCATCTTATTGAGCTTCTTTAAGATTATTATTTTGAATTCTTTTTTAGGCAATTATTATAGCTCCATTCTTTTGCGTATTGATTATTGAACTTTATGTGTTTTCCTTGATAATGTCATGTTTGCTTAATTTCTTTTCTTTTTTTGAGACAAAGTCTCCCTCTGTCACTCAGGCTGGAGTGCAGTGGTACAATCATAATCCATTGCAGCCTTAGACTCCTGGGCTCAAGCGGTCCTCCTGCAGCACCCTCATTCTTTGTTAGTCATTTAGTTTTGTATTGGTGTCTGTGCATTTGAAGGAGTAAACCAATCTTTGAGTCTTACAGACTGATTTTGGCAAGTGAAATTATTTTTCTGTTACATAATCTGGGCTGATGAAATTGTCTATGGGGTTGCAGTTGAGTGGTATTTGATACGGGTCACATAGCTGATGCTGGGTTCATGGGAGAGACCACAGTTGGTGGGCCTATTCCCAGGGACTCTAGTAGGCATGTGTGTTATCTGTTTCCTGGGTGGACTTGACCGTCTCCAGAACTTTGGTCTGTGGGGTTGGCACTGGGATGAGAATACACTTCAGTGTTTACAGATCACAGTCTGGTTGCCAAGTGTGCTTATGAGTGTGATTTCTTTCAAATGTCTGGAATGGTTCCTATTGAATCACTGGATGAGTTCCTGGGCTGACAATTTTACCCCAGTCCATGGCTGAGATGGGCTGAAACTGAGACATGGGGTTGTTTCAGGTCCATAGCCAAGACAAAAATCTTTAAGCCTGTCTTTGGATTCACGAATAGATGTTTCTTTATGGTGGGTTCCTGAGTTGGCAGGCCTGCTCTCATTCTGTAGTTGAAAGGAACAGGAGCAAATTTGTAAGGATGTGTCAAGATCAACGTGGCTTTGAAGTGAGGGCATCAGCCTGCAGGAGTGCTGCTGTACATGCCTCTCTCCAGGTCCTCAGAAAGGCTCACCTACTCTTAGTCTACTGATGAGAGGAGCCAGACCAAGACCTAGGGCTATTTGAGGATATGCTGAGGGACAGAGGCTGGCAAACCTGCCACAGGGATTCAGATGCATATGTCTACCAGTACAACAGCTAGGCAAAACCACTCAAATACTACAGCTGGAAGGGGCTAAAGCTGAGCTTCAGGGCTCTGCTGTGGGGCTGATATTGATAAGTCCAACCTGGTGGCACCAGTTCTTCCCTATGTTCTCCCAACACTTTCCTATGTCGGAAAGATTGCTCACAGATGGCAGCCAGGAGAGGCTGGAGCTCAGATTCAGGGCCCTTTATGTAACTGCTGTGGAATAGATGCCAGCAAGTGTGTCCATATAGGTCTTCTAGGAATATTTTACATAGATGAGATAACCCCAGGGCAGAGAGGAGTTGGAACTGAGACAGGACTCCTTCAAAATTGGCTATGGGATGGAAACTGGCTGCCTGTTCAGTTGGCACAGATGAGTGCACCTCCCAACAGTTTTTGTGTGTGTGTGTGTGCAATCTGGATTACTTTCAGCCTGTATTACAGAGGTGATGGAGTGGAGCTTCAGGGCCCCTTTAGAACCTGCTGTGGAATAGAAGCTGGCATGTCTATCACAGTAGTACTGATTAGGGTAAACTCCGAGACGTTTTATGTACATGTGGGACAACATCTTGGCAGCAGCCAAGAGAAGCTGGAGTTAGGAGAGGGACCCTTCAGGATATACTAGAGTAAGAAGTCCAGCATGCCTGTCCTGATGGCTGAGAGGAACTAGTCCTCAGCAGTTCTGTGTGGGCAGGGTAACTCTTGGGCTGTGGCAGAAAGGTACTGAAGCCAAGAAAGGGCCTCATCAAGATCTTCTGTGAAATGAAGGTCAGCAAGCCTGTCCTGATGGTTCAGATGGGCCAGTCTCCCAAGGGATCCCTGTCCCCCGACTATAGTGAGTTTGCCTAGAGCTGATACTGAGCTCCTTTAAGATCTGCTTAAAGAAGACATGAAAACTGGCATGCCTGTCCTTGTGGCTCAGACAGGTGCCTCTTTAAGCACTACCGTAGCACAGGTGGAATAGCTCCCTGTCTGTGGCAGAGAGGGGCTGGAGCCAAGACAAGGCCCCTTTAGCATCTGCTGTGGGACACAGGCTGGTTAGACTGTCTCAGTGTCACAGAGGTGCAGATGGGTGAGTCTCATTTGAGTCCTTTTGCAAGCAATACTGCACTGAGACCACAGCTGAGTAGGACTGGAGCTGAATTACAGGATAACTTTTGGGTCCACTGCCAAGAACAATATGGGTGGTCAGAGAAGCCTGTCTGCTGGGGCACCAGTGTGCCTGATTCCTGCTGGACCCCTTGGCAGATAGTTTTGGTAGTACGCTCAAAACTTAATGGGCCTGTAGCCAAGCCATTTGGGGAACAGAAGCACTTCTAGATCTGATACATGTAGCACAATCAGCAGATCTGTCAGCTGGGTGTGAGTCTGCATGCTCATAACCACCATCCTACATCTTGGACTCCACTGGGGTTATACAGCCTCCTACCTGAAACTTAAGACTCCCACAAAGAGACTTTTTTCCATGGGTTGGTGCAGAATCTTGTTGTTTGGAGAGAATTCAAGTGGGTAGCAAACTATCCCACCATCTTGCTGACATCAACCTCCAAGGAACTAATTTATCTTAAAAAATCTATTCTGTTTATCAAAAAGTCCTAAAAACAATGAGTTAGCCCCACCATCTCTGAAAGTACTGTATTCTCTTAAAACAAAACAGGACTTTTAGATCTAAAGCAGAAGATGTATAAGATGAGCCTTTTCCCACTAACAAGCTACCAAAGACAAAGTACACAGCCCCACGATCAAAATTTGGAAAATTTGACACCATAAAGATAACTGCAATGGACTCAAGCATATCAAATATGTCCTAACTTTATTAATGATATTCAAAAAGAAAAACTCAAATTGGTTTCCATATCAAAGATAGTAGATAAATAATTCACCGTTTTGAAAAAAGTAAGTAAAAAAAAAATAAGCTAGCATTGACTTTGCCTTTTTTCTATAACTGTCCTCTGTGTAACCAAGTAGTAGATGAGGAGATGTTTCCATTATAGAAACATTCCAGAGAATAAATGAATATATTTATTAGAGTATTAAAATTTTGCAAGTCCTACTGAATTAATACATCCAGGAATTGATGAGAATCAATGACAGCTACCATCACAAAAAGAGAAACAATTGGATTTCTCATGCTGGATATACAACTACCCTTAAAGGTCTTTCAAAAAATAATTTTTTAAAAGATAAACAAACAAAACAAAATATTTAGCAGTGACCCTGAATCTAATTAAGCTTTTGGATTTTTATAATATCTCTAGGTAATACAGAGAAAAGATAAATATTTTATATCACGTGTATACAGTGAGCAATACCTTCATGATATGAACCTTTGCAGAGCAAATAACAGAGTTTATCCAACAAATAACTAGAAGAAAACAAACCTGAATAAAAATTAAAAGAGGTGCAAGGTTGCAGTTTAAGCCATTTGCAATGCATGCTCCTTATTGAAATGATCTTGATTCAAACAATGAGAGAGAAATAGAGAAAAAGAGAAAAAAGACAAAATATTGACCAACAAGGAAGACCAAAATAATATCAAAAAAATGAAAATTAACTAGATATTACAGAATTGTTTATTAATTTTAGGTGGGATAAAGGTATTGTAGACAATTTTTAGAGTCTTAAAGTTTGGAAGAAACATTAAAGTATTTATGAAAATATGATGTAAAGCCTGTCATTTGTTTCAAAGTAATGTTGTGGGGGTGAGATTGTACTGAGTGAAAGTTGACTAGTATTGGGTAAGGTTGGGTAGTGGGTGGAGGAATTAGGTTTGGGAAAATCAATGAGCTTGGCCATGCTGATTATTGTTGATACTGAGTGATTGGTATGTGAAGGTTCTTTATAGTTTTATCTCTATTTTTGTCTATGTTTGAAACTTTCCATAATAAAAAATTTTAAGAAAACACAAAACATAAAGATAAGTAGAAAAGTCATCATGCAGAAGTTTTTAAACTGCTACTAAGATGGGAGCCAAGATGGCTGACTAGACACAGCCAGGAGAAACACTCCCAGCTAGAGACAGGGACATCAGAAACACTAGCAAACTCCAAGTAGATCTTCAGAGAGACTACAATAAGAGTGAACAGAGGGAGAATGCAGACACTGGGCTGAAGGAGGAGGAAACTGGGAAACCTGTACAGGGCTGCTGAACCCCAGCAATTGTTCATGGCCTCCAGCAACTTCTGGGAAAAGGACATATTGAACAGGTGAGGAGTTCCTTAATCTCATAATGAATCTCTGGAATTCTAGCGCAGGAGACCCCAAGACTTCCACAGACACTAGAGCTGGCAGGGAGAGCTGCTTAGAACAATAGCAGGGGCAGGACTCCAACCTGTATGGAGCCTAAAAAGTTTGGCATGGGAACACTTGCAGTGGGGCATGGCCAGGGACACTCATTCCCCAAGGTTTGCCATGATCTTTGTAGAGAAGGCTAAAGGAGGCTTTAGCCTCTGAGTGATGGTCAGATCTGGATAGAACAGAGCATTTGTTCTCATGGGATGGGGCAAGTCTCTTCTGAGCACCATCCTGTCTGCTGACCTCTCTTAGGATCCCAGCCTGGAAATACCTGATGTAGTGCAGCCTTGGATGCCCAACCAGGATGTTTTCCTGGGGAAAACATCATCATAGCTCCTTGGACAGCAGATTGTGCCTGTCACAGAGCTCAAGGAGACTGGTCTCCACTGATACACACCAGCTCACCTACAGCCTTGCCCCACTGTAGCCATCCCCTGCCACTCTGCTAGCATGTCTTCCCCCATGCATCTCCCACCAATTTGTCTATTTGTGTGCACAAGTGAACCTCACCTCTCCTTCCCCACTGATGTGCATGTGCACATGCACCTCACCACCTCACCACTACCAGCATGAGCACACACCGTTATCCTACCCCAGCTGACATGTGGGCATCCTGCTCCACCACTGCCAGAGACAGCACAAATGCTTGAATAGACTCCAGCAACCTCATCCCCACCAGTGCCCTGTCCCCTCCATGCTGGTGGCAGGGGCAGTACAAGTACTCACAGGAACACCACTGACTTGCTCCTGCCGGTGCACTGACCATGGCAACTGGCATGCACCCCACCACACCATGGCTGCTGGCACATATGAGCAAGCATAGATGTCACTGCCACTGTGCCAACGAAGCACTTTGGCCAACACGCACCACTGAAGTGTTGTGGTAAGTAGACTGGAAACACTTCAGTACTGCCAGTACAGCAGGTACATAACATAAAGGGAACAGAGAACTAAGCAAGGGTCCCAGTACTAGTCCCTTAAAATATAAAATAGGATACACACACACACACACACACACACACACACACACACACACAAAATATACAGCTCTGTATATGTGGAGATAGATATAGATATATTTATCCCTATATAGATCTGCTGTATAGATATATTTATATCTATATAGAGAGAGGGATGGGGAGTTTATTATGTATTATCTCACATGATCACAAGGTTCCACAATAGGGGATCTGCAAGCTGAGGAGTTTATTAACTCACATGATCACAAGGTTCCAAAACAGGACATCTGGAAGCTGAGGAGCAAGGAGAGCCAGTCTGAGCCCCCAAACTGTAAAACTTGGAGTCCAATGTTTGAGGGCAGGAAGCATCCAGCATGGGAGAAAGATGTAAGCTGGGAGGCTAGGTCAGCCTAGTCAGCCTAGTCTTCTCACATTTTTCTGCCTGCTTCATATTCTAGCTGAGCTGCCAGCTGATTCAATGGTGGTCACCCAGATTAAGGGTGGGTCTGCCTTTCCTAACCCACTGACTCAAATGTTAATCTCCTTCGGCAACACCCTCACAGACACATCCAAGATAAATACTTTGCATCCTTCAATCCAATCAAGTTGACACTTTGTATTACCCATCACAGGAACCCATCAGGTTAACAGCAGACATTTCAGCAGTATCCCTACAAGCCAGAAGAGATTGGAAGCCTATATTCACCATACATAAAGCAATAAAATTCCAACCAGGCAATGTATATCCAGCCAGACTAAACTTCATAAATAAAGAAGAAACATCCTTTCCAGACAAACACATGCTACGGAAATTTGTTACCACCATAACTACCTTAAAAGAGGTCCTTGAAGGAGTGCTAAATATGAAAATGAAAACATTACTGGCCACCAAAAAACACACTTCAGTACATAGAACATTGATACTATAAAGCAACTACATAATCAAGTCAGCATGATAACCAGCTAACAACACAATGACAGGATCAAATCTGTCCACAACAATATTAACCTTGAATGTAAATGGGCTAAATACCCCCAGTTAAGAGTGGCAGGTTGGATAAAAAAGCAAGACCCAAATGCATGCTGTCTTTACGAAACCCATTTCACATGCAATGACAACCATATGTTCAAAGTAAAGGGTGGGAGAGAAATCTATCAAGCCAACAGAAAAACAAAAAAGCAAGGTTGCTATTCTAATTTCAGACAAAACAGATTTTAAGTTAATAACAATCAAATAAAAAAAGAAAAAGAAGGTCATTAAATAATGGTGAAGGATTTAATTCAATAAGAAGATCTAACTATTCTAAATATATGTGCATCCAATACAGGAGCACCCAGATTTATAAAATGAGTTCTTAGAGAATTATGAATAAACTTTGATAATCACAAAATAATATTGAGAGACTTTAATATACCCACTGGAAGTATTAGATAAGTCACTGGGGCAGAAAACTAAAAAAGAGTTTCAGGACCTGAAATCAACAGTTTACCAGATGGACCTAAGAGATGTCTATCTACAAATCTCTCCACCCAAAATTTACAGAATATACATTCTTCACATCTGCACGTGGCACATATTCTAAAATAAGCCACATAATTGGCCATAAAATAATTCTCAGCAAATAAAATAAAGCATACCAACCACATTCTTTGACTATAATGCAATAAAAATGGAAATCAATACTAAGAATATCGCTCAAAACCATACAAGTACATGGAAATTAAACAACCTCCTCCTAAACATCTTCTGGGCAAACAATGAAAATAAAGCAGAAATCAAGAAATTCTTTGAAATTAATAAGAACAAGGATACAACATACCAGAATTTCTAGGACATAAAAATGTTTACATTTCCACATCAAAAAATTAGAAAAGACTCAAATTAACAACCTAACATCACACCTAGAGGAACTAGAATAACAAGAGCAAACCAATCGCAAAGCTAGCAGAAGACAGAAAATAACCAAAATCCGACCTGAACTAAAGGATACTGAGTTGCAAAAGAACCACATAAATGATTGACCAATCTAGGAATTGGTTCATTGAAATAATTAATATGATAGACAGACCACTAGCTAGACTAATAAGAAAATTATCCAAATAAACACAATCAGAAATGACAAAGGGGACATTAACATGGACCCCACAGAAATAAAAAAATGCCTCACAGACTGTTATGTACACCTCTATGCACACAAACTAGAAAATCTACAAGAAATGGATAAATTCCTGGAATCATACAACTTCCAAGATTTAAGTAGGAAGAAATTGATACCCTGAGCAGACCAATAATAAATTCTGAAATTAAATCAGCAATACAAAGCTTGCAAAGTAGAAAAAGCTCAGGAGATGGATTCACAGCTCAATTCAAACTGATGAGTAAAGAAGAGCTGGCACCATTCCTACTGAAACTATTCCAAAATGTTGAGGGGGAGGGACTCCTCCCTAACTCTTTCTAGGAGGCCAAAATCATTCTGATATGAAAACCTGGCAGAGACAGAACAAAATAAAAAAGAAAACTTCAGACCAATATCCTTGGTTAACATACATGCAAAAATCCTCAATGAGATATTAGCAAACTGACTCCAACAGCACATCAAAAAGCTAATCCCACCACAATCAAATAAGCTTTATCCTTAGGATGCAAGTTTGGGTCAACATATACAAATCAATAAATATGTTTCATCACATAAACAGAAGTAAAGACAAAAACCACATCATTCTCTCAATAGATGCGAAAATGCTTTTGAGTAAACCAAACATCCCTTCATGTTAAAAACCCTCAATAACCTAGGAATTGAAGAAATATAATTCAGAATAATAACAGACATTTATGAGAAACCAACAGCCAACATCAAACTGGATGGGTAAAAACTGGAAGCATTCATCTTGAGAACCAAAGTAAGACAAGAATGCCCACTGTCACAATTCCTATTCAACATAGTACTGGAAGCCCTAGCCAGAGAAATCAGGCAAGAGAAATAAATAAAAACCATCCAAATAAGAAGATAGAATGTCAAACTATCTCTGTTTGCAGATGATCTGATTCTATACCTAGAACACCTCATAGTTTCTGCCCAAAAGTTCCTATATCTGATAAATAACTTCAGTAAAGTTTTAGAATATATAATTAATGTAGAAAAATTAGTAGCACTTCTATATATCAAAAATGTCCAAGCTGAGAGACGAATCAAGAATGCAATTCTATTCACAATAGCCACAAAAAGAATAAAATGTCTAGGTATACAGCTCAACAAGGAGTGAAAGATCTCCCCAATGAGAATTACGAAATACTGCTAAAATAAATCAGAGATGGGGGAGGTGACCAAGATGGCCAACTAGAAGCAGCCAGTATTTGTGGCTCTCATGAAGAGGAATGGAAGGGGCGAGTAAACACAGCACCTTCAGCTGAAACATCTGGGTATTTGCATTGGGGATAATCACAAAACAACTCAACCCATGGAGAATGGAGAAAAGTAATGAAGGATGGCAGCCAATCTGGGAGTGATACTGAGCCAAGGGAACCTCCCCATCCCAGGGAAGTAGTTAGTGAATGTGTGACCCCAGGAATCTATACTTCTCTCATGACTTTTTGCAATCTTCAGGTCAAAAGATCCCCTCATGAACCTATTCCACCAAGGCCTTAAGTTTGACAGAGAGCTTCATGGAATCTTGGCAGAGGAGCTGCTCAGGCATTCATGGAGACCCCATGCCATAGGTAGTAGGACTTTCCGGGCAGCCTGGCAAAAACAGCTACAACGCTGGCAAAATGCGAGGTTAGATCCCCCCATATCAGCCCCTCCCTAGGAAAATGGCAGAATCCAGGGGACCAAGCAGCAACAGTCTGCAGGCCCCACTTCCATGGCACGTCACAGCATAAGACCCACTGGCTTGGAATTTTAGACAGCCACCAGTAGCAGGATTATACCTACCTGAGACAAAGCTCCCAGGGAGAGGGGTGGGCTGTCATCTTTGCTGTTTGAGCAATTTAGCCATTTCAACCTTAGGGCATTGGAGAGTCCAAGCTGACCAGGGCTGCAAGGTATCTTCAAGCATAGCAGAGCTGCACTATGAAAATATGGCCAGGCTGCTTTTTAAAGCAGAATCCCCATCCTGTTCATCCTCACTGGGTGAGACCTCCCAACCAGAGTCTCCTACCACCTTCACCAGTGTTCTCCCACCAACAGAGATTTGAAAACTCCCTGGGACAAAGCTCTCAGAGGGAGGAGCATGCCACCATCTTTGCTGTTTTGGCAACTTACCCATCCCAGCCTTCAGGCTTTGGAGAGTCGAAGCTGGCCAGGGGCAGGAGTGGTGTCCCAGCACAGCACATCTGCACTATGAAAATGTGGCCAGACCGCTCAGGTCCTCCATCCCGCAACTCCTCACTGGGTGTAACTCCCAAACCAGGGCCTCCAGGCAACCCCACCGGTGTTCTCTTCCCAACAAAGATTTGAACACTCTCTAGGACAGAGCTCCCAGTAGGAGGAGCAGGTCACCATCTTTGCCGTTCAGATGACTTAGCTGTTCCAGCCTTTTGGCTTTGGATAGCCCAAGCCAATCAGGGCAGAAGCAATCACCCAACACAGCACAGCTACTCTATAAAAATGTGGCCAGACTGCTTGTTTAAGTGGGTTTCTGATCTCATTCCTCCTCACTGAGTGGAACCTCCCTACTGGGGACTCCAGCCACCTACTATACGTGTGTTCAGGCTGGCAACAAGTCCATACCTCCCTAAGATGGAGCTCCCAGAGGGAGGTGCAGGCTGCCTTCTCTGCAGATTCACAGCCTTCGCTGGTGCTACCTCCAGGTACTGGAAAATCCAGGGTGACTAGGGACTGGAGTAGACTTCTAGCATACCACAGCAGCCCTCTGGAAAAGTGGCCAGATTGTTATGTGGGTGCTTTTTCTGATATCTAATGCTATGCAGAAAGCAGAGGATCCTCTCCCACCTGAGTGATCACTCCTGCTTGTAGGGCATAGAAAAGGCACCCAGACCTGCATCAGCAAGCCTGCACCTTTCAAGTCCTTGATGGTGGCACTAATCACCACAGTCCCTCCAGATACACGATATTGTTTTTGATTTACTATTTTTTTAGGTTGAGGCAGCTCTAATGGCTTCCATTTGGTTTTTCCTACCACAGTAGCCCTCACCCTTACCAGTCAGGGAGCCAATGTGGGGATTCTGAGACCAAATCAAGATTCCTCAGAATTAGTTCCTAGCAGGTTTGCCTGGAAAACTCTAGAATCTATTCTTTTTAGAATTGTCTCAGGGTCTTAAGCTACTATTGCAAAACATACTAAAACTTTTGCTTTATTTTTTTTCAAGCCTCTGTCTAATGGTGATTTTTTTTTCCCTTAGCAATAGGTGAGGATCTTTTTTTCTTCCTTCAGCCTTTGTAGAAAACATGATAAGATAACCTTTTTTCAGGCACCAAGGAATTGAGGTCATCTCTTTTCTTTGACAAGAGTTTCAAGAAACAAACCAAGTAGTCCTATAGTTCCATGAGATAAAATAAGAGCCTCAGAGTTTAAGAACTACCAGCAAAAGCTGAAATAGACTCAAAACCAGTCTGGAAACCAAGAGGCACTGGCCAGGAGTAACCTTATCAAGTTCTCACAATGGGAGCAGTCTACCAAGGATTGCCATCCTGGACATGTCATTGGATGCTTGGTGCCACAGTTCATTGACCTAAGATATTTCTGATAACACTGAAGAGTAACGTCTTAGCTATTCCTGTTATATCTGTGATTTTGCATTACTCTCTAAACAGTCAAGTTCAGATTGGAGAATCTGATTGATTTAGTCTAAATCATATGATGCTTTGCAGTCTAATTGTAGGAGCTGGATTACCACCTCTTTCTTAGATTCTCAGAATGCTGTTCTCCCAAAAAATAACAGAAAATGTGTTCAGATAATAATAGCCAAAATAGTCCAATGGTCACTATGCCACCCTTGCAACAAAATGTGTTCAGTAACCTATTGTATAGCCAAAATTGTATAGCC